>NT_187568.1:0-282736 GCF_000001405.40 Homo sapiens | reverse complement strand
GAATTCAAGAGTTCTGATTCACGTGCCCGTGAGTTTTTAAGCATAAAATAATGCTTGAAATGCTTTATCAAGCATAAAATAAATCAGGTCCAATTGGGTTTCTTTAGCCCAAATTCAATTTTGTTGGGGAATCCAGTTACAGAATTTAAAAATAAGTTAATTTAAAAAGTATTCAACTTTCAACGCTCAGTTGAAACGAACACCTTTCTCTAATCTCAGTTGAACACTCCCTGTCACTCCCACATCTGCTTTGGAAGTCATGACCCAGCCCCCACGTAAAAGCCCCTCAGTCCCTCCCCAGGAGAAAGCTGCCTTTTCCAGGCAGCACGGCCTCCCCATCATTACTGTCCACAGGACACAGCAGAGTCCTGAACTCAACAAAGACAGACCCAAGGAAACCAAACCACATTCCTGCCACACCTTCAATGAAGAAGACAGAGAACTTATCATTTTTATCTATTTTTGAGACAGAGTCTTGCCCTGTCACCCAGGCTGGAGTGCAGTGGCATAATCTCTGCTCACTGCAACCTCCACCCCCCGGTTCAAGCGATTTTTCTGCCGATTCTCCTGCCTTGGCCTCTGAGTAGCTGGGATTACAGGCATATGCCACCACGCCTAGCTAATTTTTGTATTTTTAGTAGAGACAGGGTTTCACCCTGTTGGCCAGGCTGGTCTCTGAACTCCTGATCTCAAGTGATCTGCCCACCTCAGCCTCCCAAAGTGCTGGGATTACAGGTATGAGTCATTGTGCCCGGCCAAGGCAGGGAATTTAAAAAGAACAAGGTGGCAAGAACTACAGGAGGACAACCTAGGAAGTCAGCTCCCAGCCTGGCTGAGTGAGGGAAGGGAGGGTCAGGGCCAGAGCCCTATGGGGCCTCTGATAAGTCAGCTCCCAGCCCGGCTGAGTGAGGGAAAGGAGGATGAGGGCCAGAGCCCCAGGAGGCCTCTGAGCAGGTGCATGGGACCCAGGGGCCTCCGAAGGGCACCAGGGCTGGTTCTGGGAGTTGCTGGGACAGACCACTGGTAGGGGAACAAGCACCCTAGGGCATGAGGCATGGAGGAGACTGCAAAGAGGACGGAGCAGGTGTGTGTGCCCTGTTCTGCCTTCCAGATGGAAGGGAGGCCAGAGGGAAGGCGTGGGACCATCCAGAGCCTCCCAAGGAGCAGAGGTGCTGTCACCCACCCGGCAACACTTCATCCAGGAATGCCCTCGGCAGAGCGGGACGAGCGCTGAGGCCCGGAGTTTCATGTCACCCTGGTCGCACCTCCCCGCTACGACATGGGCCTGGCCAAGTGCTGTATCTGCTCTGAATCTAGGTTTCCTTGTAATGGAAATGGGAGATGATTCTTCTTACTGGGCTGATGGCCACACTGTTATGATGCTTACATAGAAAAAAAGCACCATTTAAAATTTGAAATGTTATGAAAATGTGCCATGTTCCTGCACAGTGGAGAGGGCAGCAAGGCTGGCTCAGGCCCCAGAATATCCAAGTTCAAGCCTCGCTCTGCCAAATACCAGCCGTGTGACCTCAGGGAAATCCCCTCACTTCCCCCCGATTTCCCTCACCTTAACTGCAGCCAGTAATAGAACCCTACGCCACAGACCCCTTATGAGAATTAAAAAAGTTAATACACTTACGGTGCTGAGAGAGCCCCTGGGACCTGTCAGACCCCAAACCCTGTGCCAGGCACCATCCTCACTCCCTCTCCAAGAAGGTCCTGAAATAACAGGGGCCTGTCGGGTGCCACAGTTCTAGGTGGCCTTACTGTTCCCTTGATAAAGTGTCTCCCTGGGCTTCATGTTAATTAGTGACCTGTGGGCTTCCTACTTGCCACGGACTGAATGTTTGTACCCTCAAGATTCACACAGTGAAATCTTAACCCCCAAGGTGATGGCTTTGGGAGGTGACTAGGTTGAGAGGGTGGGGCTCCTGCAAATGGGATTAGCGCCGAGGGAGGCCCCTTGCTCCACGTGAGGACACATGAGAGGGTGTTATCTGTGAGCCAGGACACCATCATCCATAGATTCCACACCTGCTGCACCTTGATCACGGACTTGCAGCCTGCAGAACTGTGAGAAGGAAATGTCTGCTGACAAGGCTGCCCAGCCTATGGTATTGCATCCCTGCAGCCTCAGCTGAGACAGTGCTTACTGACCTGATTTTGTAAGATAAGCACAGCTGTTGGCAGAGAACACAGGGGCAACGAGGGGCAGCCATTGGTGGCTGGGAGCTCCCCCCGCCCTGTGCACACCCCAGTCTCACAGGCAGCCCAGCAGGCCACCCATGCCCACATCCCCCCAGCCAGGCCGCAGCGGCCGGCAGCAGGCGCTCAGGAAACAGTCATCACCCGAGGAAACACCTGAACAACCAGGACTTCCAGAGCAATTTCAAAAGTTCCTTCAACTAGAACAGTGCGTAACCAGCCAGGGGGCTGAGGCAGGGTGAACGTTTCCCACCAGCCGCACAGGCCAGAACCAGTAAATAAACAGGAAGAGTTTCCCACCAGCCGCACAGGCCAGGACAAGTAAATAAACAGGAGGAGTCTCCCACCAGCCGCACAGGCCAGGACTAGTAAATAAACAGGAAGAGTTTCCCACCAGCCGCACAGGCCAGGACTAGTAAATAAACAGGAAGAGTTTCCCACCAGCTGCACAGGTCAGGACAAGTAAATAAACAAGAAGAATTTCCCACCAGCCGCACAGGCCAGGACTAGTAAATAAACAGGAAGAGAAGGCACCGCTGCAGACTGAAACTTGGCTTCAAAAAATATTTTTGCAGACCTGAGAGGGAGGCCAGCAACATTCCATTTAAAGACGGAATTCGTTGGGAATGTCACTCGGCACTTTATTCGCACTTGAACTTCTCAGTGTCTTCTCGTGTTTCTAATGGGCTGCCTGTGTCCCTCTCTGCTTGCCAGCCCACCCCAGCCTGCTCTATTCAAAGCATTTTCAGGGCCCCGTGGACCTGAGGGCCGATGGCCATGAGTGAGGCCACGAGTGAGGCAGATCAGAAAGCACAGGTTCAGCAGGGGAGAAGCCAGATCTGTGGAGAAATCCCTCGCAGTGGGGGAAGCATGCAGGGCAGGCAGGGCCTGCAGAGCTTCCAGCCCCCTGTGAGGTCTTCATCGGCATGCAGACAGGACACCCAGGCCTCCCCAAGTGGCTCCCAGGGGAAACCTAGGCTCCTGCGATGCTTAGAGAACCAACAGGGGACTCAGGGAGCATTGAGGAAAGCCACCCAGGAGCTGCGCTTTCCAAAGCTGAGCACCAGTGAGCTGGGAGACACCCCGTTTCCCCTCAAATCCATTCTCAGGCTCGCTCTGCTGGATTCATGGCATCAAGGGATTAAGAGCTGCCATCCCGGTGTCAGCGGGGCAGTGTGGATGTGAAAAGCTTCCATCGAGAGAGGGGGCCGGGCGCCGTGGCTCACGCCTGTAATCCTACATGATGGGAGGCTGAGGCGGGTGGATTGCTTGAGGCCAGGAGTTTGTGACCAGCATGGCGGCCCATGCCTGCAGTCCCAGCTACCCCAGGGGGTGAAGCACTAGAACTGCTTGAACCCCGGAGGCAGAGATTGCAGTGAGCTGAGGTCACGCCACTGCACTCCAGCCTGGGCAAGAGTTAGACTCTGTCTTAAAAGAAAAAAAATAAAAAGAGATAGCTGGGAACCAGGTTGTAACTGTTTATTTCCAAAAACACATTTTTTTAATGAAAAATATTTGATTAGGGAAGTTTATATAGTAGAAAGAGCAAGGCTGTAAGTTGCAGCCCATGTTCTTATTTCAGATACCAATCGTTATAGAAAGACAGTGACCCGGGCTGTGAATACTAGAAACATTCAAACAGGGAGTTTTACTAATGCATTTTTTTCTGAGTCAAATATAACTTTAGGAATCACCCATCGTAGTCAATTAAACATTTTCGCTCCAATGCATAGAGTAAGAAAATGGTGTGGGCCGGCTTCAGGTGAGGCTCAGACAGCGAGAGGCTCCATGCAGCAATGGGACAGTGTCCTGCAGCCGCACCGATAGCGGGACATCAGCTCGGGGCAGCTTCTGTGGTTTGGTGGGTGCTATGGACTGAATTACGCACACCCCAAATCCATATTTGGTGCACCAGTCCAATAGGACTATAGTTTGGAGACGGCCTAGGAAGAAACAATCCAGGTTAAATGAGGTTTTGAGTGAACCCTAATTCAATAGGACTGGTGTCTTTGTAACAAGGGGAACAGATGCCAGGGCTCTCCCCTACTCATGCACAGAGGGGAGGCCCCGGCACACAGGGAGGAGGCCACAAGGAGGAGGCCACGCTGCAAGCTGGGAAGAGAGGCCTCAGGAGAAACCAACCAGGCTATGGGCCCCTTGTCCTCGACTGCCAGCCTCCAGAACTGCAAGAACATAAGTTCCTGTTGTTTGAGCCATTCTGGGATCATGGCCTGAGCTAGCACAGTGGCTGGGCACCATCTTGAGAGGCAGGATTACAGTTTTTCAGACATACTACACACAAGTTGAAGCAGCACAAACAGAATACCTCCAGCACTCAACAGGTGCTATCAAATGTCTTTGTTCTGAGCATTTACTCTTCACCATTTAAGATCACTACATTTAAAAATGGTCATTCTGGAGAGCAGCCAGGCCTGGTCTTCTAGGCGCACCTGCACCACCAACACGCCCCGTGTGCTCCTGCTCCCTGGCCTCCATGTTTGCCAGCCTCAAGAGCTGGCTTCGGGTGGTTCCTCACTCTCTTCAGGCACGAAGCTGGGGGAATCCACATTCAATTTGAAGAGCATAGAGAAAGACGTTTTTACTGAGCATAGTCATGTGTTCAGAGTCATGGGTCTGCTGTGCACCAGGCACTAGATCTGAGTGCCCTATGTTGTCTACACACCAGGCACCGTACTTGGTGCTAGCCACGTTGTCTGCCGTGGCCCTCACGAAGGAAGCTTTGATTATGCAGAGCCAGCCTGACGATGAGGAGGGCATCCACCCCGGCCTGTATGGGGAGCCAGAGAGCTGTCCAGATCTGCTGCTGCAGGGAAGCTGTGTTCCCACTCCCTTCTCTCCCACGAGCATCTGCTGTGGACAGGCTGCGGGGCATCTGAGTTACAAGCCCACTTCATGGCTGATGGGAGGGGAGTTTTTTTTTACGAGGTTTGAAGTCTATTCGCTGGTAAATGAGAGGGCTGGAAATTGAGGCCAGGTGTGAGGTCAACCCAACTCATGTGCCTAAGGGAGCAGAACCCAGGGGTCTTCAAAGGCAGGTGTCCCGCCCCTTGGGACAGTGCAATACCAGATTCCTCACTACTTCTACCTGGCAGCTTCCCCTGGAAGCAAGAGGAAGGCAAGGGGAATCTCAAATCCCTTGCGTGAATTTTTCATGAGCAGGTTGGGAAAAATATCTTAAGCACAGGAAGAGAATGAGCTTCTTGACTTGAATAAAGTTTGATTTTTGGAGGATCTGGCTCATTGATTCTGTGCTCTGTGGCCAAGAGGTAAACTGTAAAGCAGTTTAAATCTCGTTTCTTAACTTCGAAAAATGATTGCTTGTGATTACACGACGGGCAACCTTCCCTGCGATGATTCCTGCCAATCCCCCGTGCTCAGCAGAGATCTATTGTTTTGTCATCATGAACATCTCCTTCGTGTTTTTCTACCAGAAATATCACCAGCTCATACTGTCCACAAAAGTGGCCATCCTCTGCATCGGTAAGCTTAGGGATCCATGGAGAGGTTTGGCTTTTTTCAAACGAAGGCTTAGCGCCCAACCTGCAGTTCCTGGAAAGCACACTTTCTGACATGCCGCAAGGCAGTGAGGAAGGGATCACCTTGAGAATGTCGTTCCCCTTAGGTGTGCCACGCTCCGTCTCCTGAAAGACCGCATGCCCCTTTTCAGAGTCTAGCGCTTCTTAAGATATGGACAAAAAAAAAAAAAAAAAAAAAAAACCCACAAAAAAACCCTTCTAGGATCCAAGGTGAGAAATCTCTAAGTAACTATCTCTGCGTGGTTCCTAAAACCATTTCCGCCTCTCCACTGACGCACCCTCAAAGGCTCTTTCCCCTAAGACGAGATGCACTCAGACAGCCGCCTGGGTCCTTAGCTTTGCTTTTGTTTTTATGAAACTGTGTCCTGAAGCTGCTTTTTAATTCTTGAAAATGGATTTGGGGACAAAGGTTTTCCTTAGGCAGCTTGGAAAATACTAACTGACATGTATTTGTTAAAAAGCAAAAACAAAACAAAAAACCCCACAATGTTATATAGGGTAAGTGCCTATACTTGTAATTTTATGTAACCAATAGCAGCAAAAAAACTGTCAAATCCCAGAAAGCTTTACAGGTTAAGGTGTTAGAGTCCTTGGGGAGGGACACCTTTCAGTGACAAGAATGGAGGAAATAGAAAATAAAGAATAGAATCATCTTATCGGAGTCTCTTTAGCACTAAAAATCATATTCAAAGTTTAATCAATAGAGTTTGATATTGATTCTATTGATATCCCCACCCAAATCTCATCTTGTATGGTAACCCCCAAGTGTTTAGGGAGAGACCTGGCGGGAGGGGATTGGATCACGGAGGGAGGTCTCCCCCACACTGTTCCCATGATAGTGAGTTCTCAGGAGATCTGGTTTATATTATAAATGGTGTTTTTTTCTGTGCTCTCACATGCTCTCCCTCGCCTGCCGCCACGTAATATGGGCCTGCTTCTCCTTCCACCATGAATAAGTTTCCTGAGGCCTCCCCAGCCCTGCTGAACTGTGAGTCAGTTAAACCTCTTTCCTTTATAAATTACCCATTCTCAGGCAGTTCTTTATAGCAGTGTGAAAACGAACTTATACAAGTTTATTCAATTTGAAATCATGTTTTAGATTACATTGCTTACATTATTAATATGATTAATGTAAGTTCTATCATTAATTAATGCAAATTCCTGGCTATTACTAAAACTCAAAAAATAACACATGCTTACAAGGTGGCAGAAAAAAAGGAATTGCTTATACACTGTTGGTGGGAGTGTAAATTACTCAACCATTGTGGAAGACAGAGTGGTGATGCCTCAAAGACCTAAAAACAGAACTACCATTGCACCAAGCAATCCCATGACTGGGTATAAACCCAAAGGAATATACATCGTTCTACCACTAAGACACATGCACGTTCATTGCAGCACTATTCACAAGAGCAAAAACATGGAATCAACCTAAATGCCATCAATGGTAGACTGGATTAAGAAAATGTGGTACATGTATACCATGGAATACTATGCAGCCATAAAAAGAACAAGATCATGTCCTTGGCAGGAACACAGATGGAACTGGAGGCCATTATCCTCAGTGAACTAATGGAGAGAAAACAAATGCCACATGTTCTGTCTTATAAGTGGGAGCTAAATGATGAGAACTCATGGATGCATAAAGGGGACCAACATCCACAGGGGCCTGTGGGAGGTGGAGGGGGGAGGAGGGGGAGGAGTAGGAAAAGTAACTAATGGGTACTGGGCTTAATATCTGGATAAGGAAACAATTTGTATCACAAACCCCCATGACACACATTTACCTATGTAACAAACCTGCACTTGTACCACTGAACTTAAAAAAAAAAAGGGTTAATCAATTCCCAATACGGATTTTATGATTGTATAAAACAACTGAGTGATGTTCATTACAAATTAAATACTACTGTGTTATCTGAAATCCAAAAATCAAAGTCTGGTTTTAGATTACTCTTAATTCTATTGCTTACATTCATATGATTAATATTAATATGAATTCCTCACATTTGTGATGCTGGCTAAACTAGAATTTATGCTGTAATAAAATCTGAATAATATTTATTTTGACTTGGTGAGCAAAGTGTTTGTGTCCAGGCCCTTCTTAACTCCAAACCAGCTTTATAATTTGGTCAAAATAGTCACAGTTTCAGAAATCTATTTCTGATAAAGTTGGACTTAATTGTTTTCCAGAAGACATATCTATTACTTATCATTCTAAGTCCCTTCTAAAAGCAAAAAATATATATTTTTATTCATATATATTTCTCATGACTCCTATTAATGATCAATATAATTTTATGATAACTTCCTGGTTTTACAGAAAGATGAATTTATTTTTGATGATTTTCTAATCATAATCTTCTGCAGAGAGGTTGAAATGAACTGGAAACCCCCCACTTTCAGGAGCCTGCAAACCCCCAGGCATGGAAGTAAAGGAAAATTCCAAAGTTCTTTTCAGAAAAATGCCAGGTATCTGGCTGGCCCCAGGAGTGCTTAAGTAGCTTGTTAAGAAGGTAATCACCTAAAACAATAGCCAAGGAAGCTAATGCTCCAGAGATGTTTGCTTTCTTCTGGAAACTAAAGGAACGCCTGGAAACTGCCCTTGAACTGTCCTTCACAGGCTCTGACCCCGACTAAGGACCCCACCACACACAGACCCCAGATTAGGGGGAAGTGAAGACACAACTTCAAGGATTGCCCTTTGCTCTAAATTTCTCCCTGAGGGCCTTGGAGAAAGTAAGTCTTTCTAGCGAGTTAACATTTTTCTGTTGACCCCCAAATTTTTAAACAAAGCTTCTCTTCTTTAACCAGTTGCAAATGAGAAGATCTCTGAATCCATCTATGATCCATGAGCCCCAGCGACTGGGCGTCCTGCCCTTCTAAGCTTAAACCAATGTGTGGCCTCCATGGGTTGATTTATGATGTTGCCTGTAGCTTCTGCAACCCTACCTTTAAAAATCCTTGCTATAGCCATCAGGGAGGCCAGGATTAGAGCGGCAGCTGCCTGGTCTCCTTGCCCAGTGCTCTCCAGTAAACGCCTTCTTTACATCACTGCCAAAACTTCGGTGTGAGCATCTGGCTTTACTGTGTTGGGCGAGTGCATGCCAGCTCAGTTCTATATCAAGGTGTACACATATATGCTACAGTAAGTAAATGTTGCCAAGAAAAACTACCAGTGAGTTTTGTATTCACTGCTGCAGATCAGTCTTTTAATTATTTAGTTGATTCTTAACCTTGCACTCCTCTTTTAACCACCCAGGAAAGACAAGTAGCTTAACTGTAATATTACAGAAATTTGTACCTACCAGCTGGTTTTGCTAGTCCCTCACTAACCCATCTCCAGGCAATGCTTCAGGTAGTCTAGTTTTTATCTCAGGCTTTAACATAAACTGATTAACAGAAGAGATTTTGCAATAAAAATCACCAAAAACAAAATAAAGACTCTCTACAGGATTTAAAAGTCATCAAAAACATGGCTTTCTATTTCTACAAATTTATGTCTTTTAAATACGACAGTAGATTTTTACTCTCAAATAAGGTTGGCTTGTTGATTTTGCAATTAACACATATAATGAAAAACTGTCATTCATTAAGAGATCACAGCACTAACCTTTGTGCATTATCTGGGAACACACACACCATCTTATTCTAGTCTGTGCTGACAGTTAAATGCAACCTGTAATCTTTCACAGCTGGTCAAGCTTAAGACACCATCGATCCTCTCTAATTCATAACAGTCACACTTATGAAGATACAAACATTCTAATTAAGGTATCTGTCAATCAAATCCAGTAGAATGGAAGAATGACTCAGCATTGAAAAACGGGACCATTTCCAAGGAGGAAAAAATAACTCAGATGTCCCCAAAAAGCATAGAATTCAAAAGATATTCTGGATAAAACCCCTTCACAAGCTAGAAATACAGGAAATGTCTGTAACACAGCATATCTTACCAGAACCCCAAAGCAAACATCTCACCTAATGTGGAACAGCAGCCGCGTCCGGCAAACATCTCACCTAATGTGGAACAGCACCCATGTTCATTCTCATGAAAGTCACTGTATGGAGCAGGTGTTCGTGTCCCCCTAAATTCACACGGTGAAGCCCTAACCTCCAGTGGGACGGTAAGAGGAGGGTGTGGCCTTTGGGAAGTGATTCGGGTGGGATGAGGTTATGTGGGTGGTGGAGAACCCAAGGTGGGATGAGCCACTTATAAGACGTGAAGAGCCCAGAGCTCCCTCTCTCCCCTACATGAGCACAGAGTGAGAAAGCGCCTCCCGCAAGCCAGGGAGAAGGTTCCCACCAGGAACCCCACCTGCCGGCACGTGGATCTGGAGTATCCAGAACAGATACATGAAGGTGCTGTTTTCAGCCGCCCATCTATGGCAATGTGTTACAGCAGCCTGGGTGACTAAGCCAGTCACTCGTTTTTCCTGAAAGCAGGCACGTGCCCGGCACCCCTGACTCTGAGTGGCTACTAATGGGGCCCCTGAAACCTGGGAAAAGCAGCTGAAAGATCCAGAGAACCGTGTGAAGGTAGAATTACTGCTTTTCTTCTGTTATAAAATGAGTGCATTTTATATTTCCCAAAACATTAAAAAACAAACATGTTTTTTCTCAAAATTAAGGAAAATAATGCGCATCCTTCTAAAGAAAACTGAGTGGCATGAGGAAATGTGTACGGAGTAAGCTGTGCTCTGGGCAACAGTAGGACACAGCCAGGACCGGCCCCTCAGAGCCACCCTTCCCCTCATCAGGGAGGCCCGTCTCCGGTCTCTCAGCCCAGCCGCTGCCGAGCTAGGGGTCATGCTATGAAGAGAGGCCACCCTTCCCCTCATCAGGGAGGCCCATCTCCGGTCTCTCAGCCCAGCCGCTGCAGAGCTGGGGGCGTGCTGTGCCACACTTCCATTTTCCCGCAAAGATGACTGCACCAAACATCAGGCCTCTGGTGCGGTCTGTCTTGGGACGCCCTGCCTGGGAGGAAGAGGCTGGTTGCTGGTTGCTATGGTTACGAAGATGCTGCTGTGCAGCCTCTGGTCCGTGCCACGCTTTACAGCCTCCTGGTAAACACCCAGGGGGGTGTCTCCTTGTCGCCAGGGACCAGTTACAGTTGGGGTTCAGAAAACGCGGCATCTGCTTTTATCTAATGGGTGCATGAGTCACCTAATTGAGCCTCCATCCCTTTTTAGACACAAATTCCTGGCTTATCTCAAGCGTACGGCGGTTCATGCTGACAGGTCCCTTCTGCTCCTGGTTTATCTTGTTGATATTGTTTTACTTTGAATGTCAATCGTCATATCTGTGAGTTGCTTTTTATTACTTTTTTGAATAATAAATGAGAAAAAATAAATACACCCATACAATCACATCTATACCAAAAAACAGAACACTAAACTTCCCATCAATCCAAACATCTCCTTCTCCAAATAACAACTTTCAAATCTAAAGAGGCCAGAGTGCGTTTGTCAATAACGCACCTCACTTCTGGCAGATTAACTGAAGGTCCCTCTGCATCGGACACCACTCTTTGCATCATCTCATATAACTCGCGTGAAGTGTCTGACACGATCCCTTAACTCGCGTGAAGTGTCTGACACGATCCCTTAACCCACGTGAAGTGCCCGACATGATCCCTTAACTTGTGTGAAGTGCCCGACGTGAGCTACACGCGCAGGATCCCTTGACCATGATTAGAATTAGAACTGCCTGTCCTTACTCACTTTACAAATGTGCACCTGGGGTTACAAGGCTGAATGGATGCTGAATTCACAGTCAGCGTTCCCAGCCATGAATCCAGGCTTTACAAATGTGGTCCTGGGGGTCCAAGGCCCACGGTTGCTGACTGCAGAGTCAGCGCTCCCAGACATGAATCCAGGCTGCTCCTCAGTGGGCCTCTGCCACAAGGACTGATTCTTTCCTATCGTAAAACGTAGGATTCAGGTTAACATGTGAAAAGGTACAACGTGGGAGAATGGAACATGCCAGCACCAACTCGAACTGTATCCACAGTTACAAGAAAACTAAGCAAAAATGAAACCAAGACAGCAGGAGTCACCTACGAGGCAACACTGGCAAACTCAGGCTTCCCGCAAGGCTCGTGGGAGCAGGTGCCCCTCTCGAAATAATATCAACGTCTCCTCCCAGCATTTTACAAAACTTCATTAGGATTATAGCTGCAAATGTGAGTGATAAGACTTGCTTCAATTCCAGAAGAGTATAAAATCACTTTCAATTTTTAATCAGTTTTTACCTCTTTAAGTAAATTTTTTTTTTTTTTTTTGAGATGGAGTCTCACTCTGTCTCCCGGCTGGAGTGCAGTGGCGCAATCTCAGCTGGCTACAACCTCTGCCTCCCGGGTCCAAACAATTCCCCTGCCTCAGCCTCCCGAGCAGCTGGGAACACAGGCACGTGCCACCTTGCCTGGCTAATTTTTTATATTTACTAGAGACGGGTTTTCACCATGTTGGCCAGGATGGTCTCAAACTCCTGACCTTGTGATCCACCCACCTTGGCCTCCCACAGTGCTGGGATTACAGGTGTGAGCCACGGCACCTGGCCCTAAGTAAGATTTAAAATGTGATTCCAATGTCCATGTCTGTACACAAAAGCGACAGAGGACCATGAAGTGGAATTGTGAGTTTGTTTTGATTTCTTGTTACTGAAAACACATGACTATCAGTGGGCAAAGAATTGTAAGTTCCTGTGGGGAGCGTCAGCTTGCCAGTGTCCTGAGACACACACACCGGCCACCCTGCCTCATGGAGCTTCTGATGCTTCCATCCAGGTTAACTCATGCTGTACCTTCAGGGCTTATTTCCATCAGCCAAAAACTAGTAAAGAACAGACTTCCAACACTTTACAATGAGCTTTTAATCTCTTAACAGAGACTGATTTGCATGTTGGATATTTTAGGACCCTCATAAAAAGTCACTAAGTTCTATGCTTCAATATTTCTGACACACGCTCGTAAGTATATAAAATACCAAGTAGCTAAATCAATCTCATATCTCTTAACACCAGGGACAGGTTCTGGGAAACGTGTTGTTGGCCAATCTGGTCATGGTGGGAACATCAGAATGTGTTATACAAACCCGGCGATTGAGCCTGCCGCACACCCAGGCTGTGTGGTGCAGCTTGTTGCTTCTGGGCTACACACCCACACAGCATGTGACCGCGCTGAGTCCTGCAGGCAGCTGGAACACAGTGGCGAGGGTCTGTACATCTAAGCCCAGCTAAACATAGAAAAACTGCAGTAAGGACTGGGCTGTATAATTCCATGGGACCACTGTTCCCTGCAGGCCCTCACAGAACACAACACCGGGAGCAGGTCCTCACGGAACACAACACCGGGGGCAGGTCCTCACCGAACACAACACCAGGAGCAGGTCCTCATGGAACACAACACCGGGAGCAGGTCCTCACCGAACACAACACCGGGAGCAGGTCCTCACCGAACACAACATGGGGAGCAGGTCCTCACCGAACACAACACGGGGAGCAGGTCCTCACGGAACACAACACCGGGAGCAGGTCCTCACCGAACACAACACGGGGAGCAGGTCCTCACGGAACACAACACGGGGAGCAGGTCCTCATGGAACACAACACCGGGATATGGTGCACAACCGTATTGAAATGTGGGGCTGCTCTTTTCTAAAAAGGCAAACATGTAAACCTAAAAAGCCTGGTTTACTTTGTTTTACATTTAAATTGGGAAAATGAGAATCTATTTTAGAACATTTTGCGTGGCTTAATCATTATTTGAAAGATCCGGAATAGGAAAGTGCATCTTTAGACTCTTAGTTCAGACTCTTTATACCAAGCCTCGAATGACTAATCCACTTAACCCTTATGAGGCCACATCAAAACAACCTCCAGCCTTTCTACTTCACATCCAGTTACAACAGAACGGGCGTAGTTAACCGTCCTCCTCTGGGCCTTAGTGTTTTCTTGAAAGCTGCAGTTTCCAAGGTTTTCTGTTAATGCCGGAACACTCTCATCTCTCCCCTCCAGGGTTCTGCACAGGGACAGGGAAAGGAGGGGCCTGGGGCTGCCCTCAGGCTGTCCCCTCCTCTCAGTGCTTGGCCTCCAGGATGAGGCCACTTCAGCAATGTCCATCGGATGCAGGAGGGTCAGCCAAGTGGTCTGAATGCCACTGCCCCAAATGATGAGCCTGGGAGCCACAGCACCCTCCGGGGAAAAGCAACGCGAGGCTCTAACGTGGCCACGAAGGGGCCTCCACACACGAAGGGGCCTCCACACACGAAGGGACCTCTACACGTGAATGGGCCTCCATATGCAGGGCCACCAGACCTGGGGCCCATGGCTCTCAGCCTGCCCGTTCCATGACCCCTCATGGTGGCTGTAGCACTCAGGAAGAGAATGGGGGTTCACCCGACCTGGAGTCACCCCAATGAGCCCAGCTACAAAAATCTTCAATTCCTCAAAGTGTGGCCACAGCAACCCTGCAAGAGGCGGCTCCAGGAACACAAGCAGAAGGACCGTTTAAGAGCTGGGTTGGGGACAGGGTGGGGTCCCTCATGAGCTCCAGGAACACAAGCAGAAGGACCGTTTAAGAGCTGTGCTGGGACAGGGTGGGGGTCCCTCATGAGCTCCAGGAACACAAGCAGATGGACCGTTTAAGAGCTGGGCTGGGGACAGGGTGGGCATCCCTCATGAGCTCCAGGAACACAAGCAGAAGGACAGTTTAAGAGCTGGGCTGGGGACAAGGTTGGGGGTCCCTCATAAGGCCGGCACAAGCGAGGGCCCTGCCTCAGGAGGAGCTGGCTGGAGGGCAGTCCCGTTTCCCCAGGGACAATCCAGTGAGGCCCCTCATCTGCACCACAATGGGGTGGTGCCTTCCAGAGCCCGTGGGAGTCTCCAGACCCACGTCTGGTCTCCTGGACCCCTCAAGAGTCTCTGCACATCTTTCCTTCCAGAGACAACAAATGTTCTTTCCAAAAGACATTCTGACTAACATGACCCTGAGACTCTTAATCAAAGCCCTCAGCAGCAGAGCACCGCCCACAGCGGGAGTCTAAGCCTCTGATCACCCCGAGACCCTACTGAAAGCCCTCAGCAGCACAGCACCTCCCACAGCAGGAGTCTAAGCCTCTGATCTCACCACCAGGATCTCCCAGCCTGATCTCTGCCTGCCTCCTGTCCACGCACAGCACGATGAGAGATCCCAGCCCCTCACCTGCCTTGCCTCCCTCCTCATCTGCCTGTGTCTCTTCTCTCCCCTGCCTCCCTCCTCATCTGCCTGTGTCTCTTCTCTCCCCTGCCTCCCTCCTCATCTGCCTGTGTCTCTTCTCTCCCCTGCCTCCCTCCTCATCTGCCTGTGTCTCTTCTTCTCTGTTCTGTTTCTGGCTACATGGAAATATATTTTTATATATGGAGGAAGCTTTCAAGGACCTACCTACTTAAAAAAATCAACCTATTTTTGAGAATAAAGGGTACAGGGCTGTGAAAATCCATGGCTCTGCCAAAGCCTCGCAGGTGGAGCAGGTGGCCCATCTGCATAAATGCAGAATCCACGGCACCACTGCCTCACGTATTCACCGCAGGGGCCATCAGACACTGGGATTTTAGTCATTGATTTCCCGCGTGTTCGAAGACATGTGGGAGAAGACCATGGCAGGGGATACACAAACAGTTTTACAAATTATCAACTTCCAGAGCCGGAAGTGTCCATGGAGATGAATGTGTTATTTACAGGAAAGGGCGGATGGGGCGCCAGGGATTCTCAATGCCAATGCCAAGCTCGCTGGGTCCTTCTTCAACTCCCACAGTCCTCCCTGCCTTTCTGCCTCCCCGCATTTCCACCTCCCCACCACCTCAGCCCCACTAACTCCAGGCTTAAGAGCCTAGCTGTAGAGCGGCCTTCCCGCCTCTGCAATGTTTTGCTTTCAAATTCCCAAACACTGGTTTCAGTAACTTATACACAAGACAACGTAAAACCTTGCGAGTCTGAAATGCACAAATAAATCAAAGCTCATTAGTAAGAAAACATCCATTTGTGATGGGTATTTTTATGTTATTTATCTAATAAAACATAAAAACATAAATCACCTGGCTTTCATAATGTTAGATTTGAATCAGATTAGATCGCAAGAAGAAATAGCCCCTATTTTTAAGAGTTGAGTTGTTTTCATCTGCATGATATAATTCAAAATAAGTGGTTATATGGCATTCAAACACAATCTAGGAATATTTATTATAAATATAGTACCTACAATTGGTTGAAAAACAAGCATCACGCTATCATAGGAAATTCCATTTCACATAATGAAAGAAACTCATTTTTTTCCATAAAAAAAATTTGATCAAGATCCAGGTATTTGTCCGGGATGCAGTAGAATTTCGATTCCAAAGCTCTAACCATAACGTTCTGGAGGCTGGAAGTACCAGGTGGACAATGACAATGAAATATCTTACAGGGAGATTTTTACAACCCTGACGGTGTAACAGATTATGTGTGGAGGAAGCTGTAAGTATCTCATTTTGTCAATGCAAGGCCATGCATCCTAGCGGGGAAATATTTAAAGTCAATCTTGGGAAAATGGTCCGAGTCTGCCAGAGAAGGCAGAGGTCTTATGGAATGCAAAGACATGACAGGATTCAAAGAACTAGAAATACAGACCCTGAACGAGGAGGTGCTGGACAGTCAGAGACGAGGGAGACGATGCTTCCTCCGTGTGGGGGCAGAGCAGGTGCTGGACAGTCAGCGATGAGGGGGACGATGCCTCCTCGGTATAGGGGCAGAGCCTTCTGAGGGCAGCCTCAGCAACTGGAATGGGAATCATGCCTGAAACCCAGAGCCTGGGGTTCCGGGCCCCACTCAGCCATCCTGCAGACTGGCTTCTACCCACTAAAACGAGATGATTTGATGGGAAAAATGAAAACACCACACGGGGGCTGTGTGTGGCATTTCAGATGACAGCAATGACACTGATGGTTATTATCTGTATTTCAAAAGATAGTGAAAATCATATGTTTGCTTAGGATCAAAAACACAGATTAGCTAAAATGCAGGTTTCCTGTTTTCAGCTGCTTGGCTTTCTTAAGCAGCTTAGTGCAGGAACACAGCTAGATTATAAAATGGTGAGAATATTCAATTCACAATTACATATCATGAATGGTAGAAAACAAACAGAAAAGTATATTTGATGAGTAATAAAAATAGAAACATAGGAAAACATTAGCCAAGTCATGGTGGCTAAATGTAGCTTACTTAAGTGGCCCAGCTTCTCAAACATACAGTCTGAGGAGAAGCCCTTGGCAGCAACGTTCTGGGCCCTGGACTCAGCTCTGAGGTCCCTGAGAGAGGAGTCTGGGCCACAGGTAACCCTTCTGGAAGTGGAAACCCTTCTGGAAGCAGAAACCCTGGAGCCGCTTCCAGGCTCTTCTCTTTGGCGAGTTCCTTAGCCCATGGTCCTCTCCCTGCTGACTCAGTTTCTGTCTTCAGAATGGAAACCAAGGACTATGTTCTATGTATGCTATGAGAATTGAATCAGTCAATACACAGACAGCATTTAGATTAGCACCTGACATTTTTATTGGCGTTAAACTCTGGGGAAACGATATGCATGAGAAACATTCACGGTGCCAGGACAGTGCTGTTTGGTCTGCATACAGGGAAAATGAAGGGCTGAATTTTTTTTAAGAATACCACGCTCTCACTTCCTCCAAAAACAGGCAAGGAAAAGAAGGTCACTGCCTGCTCTGGGGAGCAACCTGAATGCATGCTGTCAATTAGACCATGTTCTTTGTTTCAGAAGAAAGAAAATTCTTCTGAAAAATAAAATAATTTTTAGGCAAACAGGAAAGAATACTGAGGAAAAGGTGAGGTTAATCCTTGACATTATTAATTAATATTGAAAAATGTACAAAGTGCTGAAGTTTTATTCCTAAAGGGAGTCAGGAAGGTGGTGAGAGAAAGGCAGGGAGAGACACCTAGGAACTGGAGGAGGAGAAAAAGAGGTTGTACATAGAGAAAAAAAGAGAAAAAGAGGTTGTGCATAGAACTATTTCTTTTTTTCCCTTAGGAATAAAGGAAAGATAAATTACACATTATTTGAATGGCCTTCTCAGGTTTATAATGTATCACTTTTCCAGGTTTTAGACCAAACATCTGACACTGTAATGATTTTTCCTTTTAGAGTCTCCAAAGCTAACAGGCATCTTTCCATGATATGTGTGCTTGGAAAATACTATGAGGAACCTCCTTGTTTACTGGAAAACAATGGGCATGGACTCACTAGGTCCTGGTGTCTCATTCTGACCGGGTGGAGGCTGTACCTACTAAGCCTCAGGTGTTACTTGAGCAAATTTAAATATTATCACCCGCCTCATGGGAACTGAGAAGTGAAACATAAAAGAACCACCATGTGAGTTTATAGTAATAAAAAACATTTTTCATTATTCTTTGCTTTACATTTTAGAATGCAAAAGCCATTAGTAACTAAAATTTCTATAAAAGTTGATTAATGGGGAAGCCTTTTGGTTCATAATTCACAAAATTGTCAAAGGCGATCATTCCAAGCTTCTGAGCGAAACTTATTCTCTGAAATGTGAGATATTTTGACAGAAAGATTTGCATAGTTATTTTCAAATACATTTGAATATTTAGTGCCCCCAACCCAGTTTGTATAAAAGATTTGAAGGCATAGAATTATGCTGAGTTTAACTGTATCTCCTGATCACCCTCTATCTGGCGGACCTAAGCCAAAGCTCCTGTTGTGTGAGGTTCTTAAGAGCTGGTATCACACTCTTCCCAGAGCTCCTATGATTCCATTTAGAGCCTAACAAATCTTCACCATCAAATACGAGGGGAGCTACTGGTCAGGAGAAATGAGAGAAATGGTATTTTCAAGACTGAATCAAACTTAAAAAGACAGCTTCCAGAAAAGAAAAAAAAAAGAAAAAAGAAGATGAAGGGAGGGAGGAAATGAGAGGGAAAGAGGGAGGAAGAAAGGGAGTATAGCTTCTACTTTATCAACTAAAAAATAATTCTTCAAAGAGAAGTATCAGTTCTACCTTGTTATAAAAACCAATATGTATTTTTGAGAGACCTACACATAGTAAGCAGGAAAAATGTACATAAATCACCAAAGGGAAACAAGTTTACTATGACAAAACAGTTTATGATAAAAGAAAAAGGATTTTCTTAAATGCGATTCAACCTATTGTGGGATCAAAAATGTGATCTTTCTCTACGTTCCCCTCAGCTCTGGATGGCAGTAACAGAGCTCCCAGGAATCCTCCTCAGCTGCACATTTAAACAGCCCATTGGTAAAGATCAGCCCATCCTAGGGAAAGCCATTTAGAATCTCATGTGTCACCAGTGACTCAGAGGTTCTTTCAGTCCTGACCAGAGGATCCAACTGGCAAAACCTGTGCGTGTCATGAAAACTCTGTCTCCATGGACAGAAGAGGAGAAACAGGGTCACCCAGTGATGTCCCATTTCATTCTTCCATGAAATGAGAGTCTGCTGTGGAACCGAATGATCCCTAAAGCCATAAACAAGACCGGAACCTGATGGTAACCGTAGTAACACCAGTCCACATCTGGCTCAAAGTTCACCTAAGGGAGTGCAATCTCTGGCTCAATGGCTTGGGGCATTACCACGAGGGGCAAATGCACTCAATCCCTAGGAAGGTCTGTCTCCCATTAAATGAAATTCTGTATGGGTTGGGGCAACACCATGAGAAAGAAGCACTCAATACCTAGGAGGGTCTGTCTCCCATTAAATGAAATTCTGAGCAAATGGCCAAAATAGGACAGATGCTCATGGATGCTAAAGGAACAAGGATAGAAGGTTATAAGTTCTGAAGAGACAAGGATGTGTTGTCATGAATTCTAAAGGAATGAGGATGAGAGGCCACGGGTTCTAAGGAGACAAGGATGGGTGGTCATGGGTTCAGGAAAGATGAAGACGGGTGGTTGTGGGTTCTAAAGGGACAAGGATGGGTGGTCATGGGTTCAGGAAAGATGAGGTTGGGTGGTCAGGGGTTCTGAAGACATGAGGATGGGTGATCAGGGGTTCTGAAGGGATGAAGATGGGTAGTCATGGGTTCTGAAGGAAAGAGGATGGGAGGTCATGGGTTCTAATGGGAAGAAGATGGGTGGTCATGAGTTCTGAAGGAACAAGGATAGGTGGTAATGGATTCTGGAGGAACAAGGATGGGAGGTCATGGGTTCTAGAGAGATGAGGATGGGAGGTCATGTGTTCTGAAGGGATGAGGATGGGTGGTCAGGGGTTCTGAAGGGAAGAGGATGGGTGGTCAGGGTTTCTAAAGGGATAAGGATGGCAGGTCATGGGTTCTAACTGGGCGAGGATGGGTGGTCATGGGTTCTGAAGGGACGAGGATGGGTGGCCATGGCTTCTAACTGGACGAGGATGGGAGGTCATGGGTTCTGAAGGGACGAGGATGGGTGTTCATGGGTTCTAACTGGACAAGGATGGGAGGTCATGGGTTCCAAAGGGGAGGACGGGTGGTCATGGGATCTAACTGGATGAGGATGGGTGGTCATGGCTTCTAACTGGACGAGGATGGGAGGTCATGGGGTCTGAAGGAATGAGGATGGGTGATCAGGGGTTCTAAAGGGATAAGGATGGGAGGTCATGGGTTCTGAAGGGACAAGGATGCGTGGCCAGGGGTTCTAAAGGGATAAGGATGGGAGGTCTTGGGTTCTGAAGGGACGAGGATGGGTGGTCAGGGTTTCTAAAGGGATAAGGATGGCAGGTCATGGGTTCTAACTGGATGAGGATGGGAGGTCATGGGATCTGAAGGAATGACGATGGGTGGTCACGGGTTCTGAAGGGACAAGGATGGGTGGTCATGGGTTCTAACTGGACGAGGATGGGAGACGAGGGGTTCTGAAGGGACTAGGATGGGACTAGAATGACTAGTTTCTAAATAAATTAGGATGGGTGTTCATGGGTTCTGCAAAGTCTAGAATGGGCGGTAACGGATTCTAAAGATACCAGGATAGGCATCATGGCATCCAAAGGACTAGGGTTTATAGTCATGAGTTCTGAAGGAATGAGGATGGGTGGTCATGGGTCCTAATGGGCAAGGATGGGTGGTCATGGGTCCTAATGGACAAGGATGGGTGGTCATCGGTTCTGAGGGGATGAAGATGGGCAGCTGGGTAGCTGTGGGTTCCGAAGGATGGGTGGCTGTGGGCTATGAAAGTAGCAGAAAGGTGGTTATGGTTTCTGAAGGGTCTAGAATGGACAGTCATGGATTCTTAAGATACCAGCATAGCTGTCATGGTATCTGAAGGACTAGGGTTAGTGTTCACAAATTCTGAAGGGGTGCCCCTTCGTATTGTTCTCATTCGGACGCATGTTGGCTGGAACGAAGATGCCTAATGAGTGTGATTTGAGCTTCTCAGGCCTTGGCCCTGACTGCTGCTTGACCCCTCCGTGTCTGGGTGTGAGCCACAGAAGCAGCTGCATGGAGGATGGCTCTCTTCCTCCTCCCATAAATGAAGGGGCTGAACCCTTAGCCTAACTCTCAGTAGGGTTACGTCCACAGACCCAACGGTGGTGAAATGGGACCTGCAAAGATGTTTGAATTTCCAACTTAGCTAAGATGTAGTAGGGATTTTCCTGTTTTTGTTATAAGTTGCTGCCTGACACAGGGTTTTGCCAGCAGACTCATTTTTCAGCCCAGCCCTAAAAGTGCTGAGTCCCACTTTTCATCTTAGCCATTTCCTATAGCAGCCTTCCAGAAAGGGTCTTCCCAACTACAAGGAAACCTTTCTAGTGAGAAGTCCCTAAAGCAGAATAAGCTAGGGTGCTGGACCCCATTCACTGTATTTTATTTAAAATCATGGTGCCAACCACTCTCCTAAGTCAAGGTAGGGTCAACTGTGACTCTCACAACTTGTACCAACTCTAGAGGCAGCTGTGGTCCAACTTCAAGGTGAAATTCCCCATTGGATATAAAAAGTTTGACAGTCCCTGGGGATACTTAAATTCAAAGTTGAGTGGCGAAGCCTCTCACACATGCCATCACTTGAAGCTCAGCTGTTCACATGAGGAAACAGCGTGTGTGCTGTGGTGGGACCAGTTCCAGGCACGGCACCCAGAAGCCTCAGGCTGCTCAGCATCTCTCAGCTACTGCCCCTGCTACCCCGATCTGCTGAAGAAGAGCAGCAGGGCTGAACTGCGAGAAGCAATGGGCCTTGTGCTCATTTATGAACTGATGAGTACAGAAGTTAAGCAATGTTCTTGGTGTCATGGAATAAAACCAGCACTCACATGACGCACTGCAGTAGATGCACAGTCAGCCTCCCATGTAAGAGCATGGGGAGGCAACTGGAGCTTCTTTCTAGCTAAACACGCTGGACACTAAAATATTTTGCAGATGAATTAACAAGCTTATATTATGTCAAAGGCTGAAATAAAAGTAGTCCTACAAAAGATTCCAAACCTACTTAAAATTTACGTCTTATTCTGCAAATTGCATGCCTTAAGTGCGGGAAGGATGTGGCATTTATGCCATCTCAGTGCAAAATAATATGGGCCAAACTGCAAATCAGTACTTAAATGGGAAAAAATCACTTATCAATTGAAAATAGAATCGGTTATAAAGTAGTAGGAAAATAGTTAATGGTAAAGTTGTCTATTAAGTATTTATATGAAGTAATTATACAGTCACTTGAATGGTTCTCCACAGTTATGCTTAAATAAAATGATATTGAACATCAAACGATAAATTATTCTATGTAAGCATAATGCTATGTCTCACAAAATAACACTCACCTAGTCCCATAAATTTAAACTTAACTATAGGTGTTGGTGTCATTTCGAGGAAACAAATTATTTTGAAAAATTGTATCATTCCAGGAAGTACAGCCATGAAGAACTCACCCAAGGTCGTTTTCCATCATTTAATTTAGTTCAGATTCAAAAACGGTCCCACCACATAGTACATGTATATTTATCTCCAAGTTCTTTCGGTCCTCATAGCAGAGTGTCATGATCTTGAAGGTTGCTCTAAGCACTGACAAAATGCCCTCAGTACAGGGGCCGTCTGCAGTTCCTCCTAGACTTCTGTTTGGGAGGCAGAATTCCATTTCTACTGATTAAAAAGAAAGCAGCAGCAGCAGCAGCAGCCCCATTCATTTCTATTCGCACAGTTTAGCTTCTTTTCCTGATGCTGCTTTTGGATTATAATGAAGACATTTGTCCCAGTGCAGAAGTTTTGCCCTGAAAATAAATTAGGCTTTTCTTGGCAGCTAAAATGAGCACTTTACACCAGGTGGGCTCTTTTCACTGTCCTCAGTCACGTAAGGAACTGAACAAAGACAATGTAATGCAGTTTCGAAAGTTTCTCAGTCTCTGCTCACACACTACGGGGTCAAGAGCTGCAGATGCTGGAATCAGCACCAGAGTGAAGCTGAAGAAGTTCCCCCGAGCTCACATCCTACTTACATAAGGGACTTCAGAATCTCCAGACATGGCCTATTTAAAGTGTAATGAATGCATTTTAGAAAAAGCCATTAAAGCACTTTCTGAACTGCGGTTAATTTCCCCACTCCGCCCGCTCCTCTGTCAACTGACATGCAATGCTTTTGGGAGCTGAGGTACAGCATTCAGGTCAAAACCACTTAAGACCAAATGAATCTATACAACTTTTGAAAGCATATCAATATTAACGAATTTGCTTTATAATTTCATTGGAACTATTCCATCTGGAAAACGGTATCTACTCATTAACTTTTATTTTAAAATGCTTTTTCCATGTTTGAATTGCTGATACTTTTGTCTGATTTTCTTAAAGGAAAAAAAAAAACTTTCAAAAGCCTAACTGTGAACCAGTGCTGCCCACTGTGAAAGGGGGAGGCTCTGAGCCCAAGTGAGTGTCAAGAATGCGCAGGTGATTCTGTGTGCCTGCTCTCCTGGGGGAGCCCCCTGGGGGTGTCTTACAAAGAGTCCTGGTCTGGAGAACAGCCGCCTCCCCCTCCTCTCTACTGCCCTCCCCTCACTCCGGCAACCACAGGGTAAGAATGAAAAGGCCATCTCAGTTCAGACTTGCTCTACTCAGCGTCCATCCCACCCTCAGTCCTGATTTCTAAGCATCTTCCCACCATGAGCCTGTTTCTTCTCTCTGAATCTGACGGTCAGGAATGAAAAGGCCGTCTTGGTTCAGGCTTGTCCTACACAGCGTCCACCCCACCCTCAGTCCTCATTTCTAAGCATCTTCCCACCGTGAGCCTGTTTCTTCTCTGTGAATCTGACACTTGATCACCCATAACCCACTACACATTTCTAACCTTTGGCTTCAATTTCTTGGCTCAAAGAAGACCGTGCATCGTCACCGCATCCCCAGCGTGGCGTCCCCAGTGTGGCACCTCTGAGTGGTGGGATCTGTCTGCACACCTGCCCAGGGTTGTGCCATCAGCCTCAGAGAGGGCACAGCCCCGAGGCACTAGCTCGGCACTGTGCTTTGTCCACAGGCTCACCTCAAGAAGACAGGTCAAACAGACGGTGTTGGGTTTTCCAAGACAGGTCAAAGAGACGGTGTTGGGTTTTCCAAAACCTCTTCTTGATGCTGGGTCCCAAGGAGATGAAATTGCTGTAGCAAATTTTAAAAACCCATAAAGCTTTGGGATCCTGCAGAGAAGCACAGGGTTCATCTGAGGACTGCACATCGGGTTTATTTTTCAGCTTTCTTTTGGCAGAAGCGATCCTGGGATCTCCCTTCCGCAGAGGAAGCCAGTAGCTGTTGGCTGCGGAAGAGGTTTTGCTTTGGTTTCTGTCTTCCCATCAACTGTGTTCAGACTCAGAGTCAACTAATTTTTATTCAGTTCTTCGTGTTCCAGATACAGTAATGAATATTCTCTTTTTTTTTCTCTTTTTTTTGAGACAGGGTTTTGCCCTGTCACCTAGGCTGGAGTGCAGTGGCACAATCACAGCTCACTGTAGCCTTGACCTCCTGAACTCAGGCAATCCTTCCACCTCTGAGAGCCTCCTGAGTTAGCTGGGACTACAGGCATGCCACCACGTGTGGCTAACTGTTTTTATTTTTTTGTAGAGATGGGGTTTTGCCAAGTTGCCCAGGCTGGTCTCAAATGCCTGGGGTCAGGCAATTCACTCACATTGGCCTCCCTAAGTGCAGGGATTGTAATTACTGGATATTTTCAAATATATTATCTGCCCCATTCTCAATGTGAGGTGAATATTGTCACCCCCACTTTACAGATAAAGAAACTGAAGAAATAAGAAAACCCTCAATGCCTCTTGTAAGGTTATCTAGCACCAAATTGTAGAATTTAAATCCAAACCCAGGTTTTCTGACCCCAAGTCTTCCGGGCATCAACCGCTCACTCTTCGTCCAGGCTGTGGCTGAGACACAGCTGGTGCTTTGGAGGGTGGTCGGTAACCCTTAGTCACTTGACAATACAGAAAACCCAAGAGCATGTCAGGACCCAGATGAACGGGGAGGGCCTGCTCCCTTCTCACACGGAAGGCCAGTGCGGGTGTCCCCAGCTGACGCCTGCGCACCCCATGGGGATGGGATTGCGTACCGCATCAAGGCCAAGATCTCCAAAACCACAGACACCCACCAGGCCCACACCCCCAGCTTTCCAAGAACCCCTGGAAAGTCCTCCCAAGTGACTGTCACTGGCCACGTCTGACGGAGTGAATGGCTCCCACGGTGCTGTCTGCTGGGATCGTTTCCTGGGCACTGATGTCTATGAGTGATGCTCTCATGCCTTCTAGAAGATTCCAGGCCCATTATGTCCCATCACTGAGCAAAGGACAACAACGTTCCATACACCTGGCACAGTCCCCTGTGTGTGGCAGGGATAAATGACTGACTAGAAGAAGAGCCCAAATGAGATCATCTCAACAAATTCGAAAACTGTCATTTGTGCCTTAAAATGAGTGTGGCTGACCGCTGATGTGAATTCTCATGCCAAAGCACCAGCTGTAACTCTACATAGCCAGTGGTCTCAGCACTGGGGATCCCTGGCAGCACAGACACTTCACAGCTACACCTCCGTCCTCTGAATTGTTTGATTTTACCACTGCCTACAAGAAGGATCCCTAAAGATGCCACCACTGTATTTAGATCATTTAAATTTCTACAGCATCTATGGTGTGGTAGGCACTGTCTTAGGCACTTTACATACACAAACTCAGAATCTTCACAATATTTTTATAAAGTAGTTATTACTACTCCAATTTTCAGATGAAAAGTTATTCCCCGTGGTTAAGAAACATGCCCAGTAAAGGGTTCAATTCAACAAGAAGGCCTAACTATTCTAAATATATATGCATCCAACACAGGAGCACCCAGATTCATAAAGCAGGGCTTAGAGACCTTCAAAGAGAAAAAGACTCCCACACAATAATAGTGGAAGACGTCAACATTCCACTGACAGTGTTAGACAGATCACTGAGAGAGAATTAATGAAGATATTCAGGATCTGAACTCCACATTGGACCAAATGCATATGACAGACCTCTATAGAACACTCTACCCCAAAACAACAGAATGCACATTCTTCTTATTGCCACATGGCACACACTCTAAAACAGACCACATAATTGAACATAATCCTCAGGCAAATGCTAAAGAACTGAAACCATGCCAAATACAATCTTGGACCACAGCACAATAAAAGTAGAAGTTAAGACTCAGAAAATCACTCAAAACCATGAAATTACATGGAAATTACACAACATCCTCCTGAATGACTTTGGGTAAATAATGAAATTAAGGCAGAAATCAAGAAGTTCTTTGAAACTGATAAGAACAAAGAAAGAACATACCAGAATCTCTGGGACACAGCTAAGGCAGTGTTAACAGGAAAATTCGTAGCACTAAATGCCACATCAAAAAGTTGGAAAGATCTCAAATTAACTACCTAACATCACAATTAAAAGAATTGGAGAAGCAAGAACAAATCAACTCCAAAGCTAGCAGAAGACAAGAAATAACCAAAATCAGAGCTGAAGAAAATCAAGACACGAAAAACCATTGAAAAAAATCAATGAATCTAGGAGTTCATTTTTTGAAAAAAAAAATTAGTAAGATAGGCTGCTAGCTGGAATAATAAAGAAGAAAAGAGAGGAGGCCCAAATAAATACAATTAGAAATGACAAAGAGAATGTTACCACTGACCCCACAGAAATAAAAATAACCACCAAAAACTACTATGAACACCTCTATGCACACAATCTAGAAAACCTAGAAGAGATGGATAAATTCCTGGACACTTACACCCTCCCAAGACTGAACCAGGAAGAAGCTGATTCCTTGAGCAGACCAATAACAAGCTCTGAAATTGAATCAGTAATGAATAGTTTATCAACCAAAAAAAAGCCCAGGACAGATGAATTTACAGCTGAACTCTACCAGATGTATAAAGCAGAGCTGGTACTATTTCTACTGAACCTATTAAAAAAAACTGAAAAGGAGGGACTCCTCCCCAACTCATTCTATGAGGCCAGCGTCATCCTAATACCAAAACCTGGCAGAGACACAACAAAAAAAGAAAACTTCAGGCCAATATCCTTGATGAACATCGATGAAAAAAATCCTCAGCAAAATTCTTGCAAACCAAATCCAACAGCATATCAAAAAGCTAATCCACCACAATCAAGTAGGCTTCATCTCCTGGATGCAAGGTTGGTTCAACATACACAAATCAATCAATGTGATTCATCACATAAACAGAACTAAAGACAAAAACCATATGATTGTCTCAATAGATGCAGAAAAGGCTTTTAATAAAATCCAATACCTCTTCATGTTAAAAATTCTCAATATACTAGGTATTGAAGGAACATACCTCAAAATATTAAGAGCCATCTATGACATCCCCACAGCCAGCATCATACTGCATAGGTAAAAGCTGGAAGAATTCCCCTTGAAAACTAGCACAAGACAAGGACGCCGACTCTCACTAGTCCCATTCAACATAGTATTGGAAGTTCTGGCCAGGGCAATCAGGCAATAGAAAAAATAAAGGGCATCCAAGCAGAAAGAGAGGAAGTCAAAGTACCCCTGTTTGTAGATGACAAGATTCTATATCTAGAAAACCCCAGTCTTGGCTCAAAAGCTCTCTCAGCTGATAAACAACTTAACCAGAGTTGCAGGATACAAAATCAATGTACAAAAATCACTAGCATTCTTACACACCAAAAACAGCCAAGCTGAGAGCTAAATCAGGAAGGTAATTACATTCACAACTGCCACAAAAAGAATAAAATACCTAGGAATGCAGCTGACAAGGGAGGTTAAAGATCTCTTCAATGAGAATTACCAAATGCTCCTCAAAGAAATCTGAGAATGCACAAATGGAAAAATATTCCAGGCTCATGGATAGAAAGCATCAACTTAATTAAAATGGCCATACTGCCCAAAGCAATTTATAGATTCATTGCTATTCCTATCAAAATACCAATGACACTCTTTACAGAACTAGAAAAAAACTATTGTAAAATTCATATGGAACCAAAAAAAAGCCCAAATATCCAAGGCCATCATAAGCAAAAAGAACAAAGCTGGAGGCATCATATTATCCAACTTTGAATGATACTACAGGGCTACAGTAACAAACAGCATGACAGTGGTACAAAAACAGACACACAGACCAATGGAACCGAATAGACAGCCCAAAAATAAGGTTACACACCTGCAACCATCTGATCTTAGACAAAGCTGACAAAAATAATTAATGGGGAAAAGACTCCCTAGTCAACAAAGGGTGCTGGGATAACCGGCTAGTCATACGTAGAAGATTGAAGCTGGACCCCTTCCTTATGCCATGTACAAAAAGCAACTCTAGATGGATTAAAGACTTAAATGTAAAACCCAAAATTATAAAAACCCTGGGAGACAACCTAGGCAATATCATCCTGAATGAGCAAAGATTTCATGATTCATGCAATTTCTGCAACAAAAGGGGAAATTGACAAATGGGATCCAATTAAACTTAAGAACCTCTGTAGAGCAAAAGAAACTATCATCAGAGCGAACAGACAAACTACTAGAATGGGAGAAAATATTTGCAAACTACGCATCTGACAAAGGTCTCATATCCAGTATCTATAAGGAACTTAAACAAATTTACAAGAGAAAAACAACCCTATTAAAAAGTGGGCAAAGGACGCCCGGGCGCGGTGGCTCACGCCTGCAATCCCAGCACTTTGTAAGGCTGAGGCAGGTGAATCATGAGGTGAGGAGATCGAGACCATCCTGGCTAACATGGTGAAACCATGTCTCTAATAAAAATACAAAAAATTAGCCGGGTGTAGTGGTGGATGCCTGTAGTCCCAGCTAATCGGGAGGCTGAGTCAGGAGTATGGCATGAACCGGGGAGGCGGAGCTTGCAGTGAGCCAAGATCACACCACTGCACTTCAGCCTGGGCAACAGAGCAAAACTCTGTCTCAAAAAAAAAAAAAAAAAAAAATGGGCAAAGGACATGAACACACTTTTTAAAAGAAGACATACATGTGGCCAAGAAGCATATGAAAAAACTTAAATATCATTTATCATTAGAGAAATGCAAAGCAAAACCCCAATGAGATATCATCACACACCAGTCAGAATGGCCATCATTAAAAAGTCAAAAAATAACGGATGCTGGTGAGGTTGTGGAGAAAAAGGAACACTTATACACTGTCGGTGGGAGTGTAAAGTAGTTCAACCCCTGTGGAAAGCAGTGTGTGGTGATTCCTCAAAGAGTTACAAGCAGAACTGCCATTCAACCCAGCAATTCTATTAGCGGGTATATATCCAGAGGAATATAAATCATTCTACCATAAAGACACATGCACGTGAATGCTCACTGCAGCACTATTCACAAAAGCAAAGACATGGAATCAACTTAAATGCCCAGCAATGACAGACTGAATATAGAGAATGTGGTACATCTATACCATGGAATACTATACAGCCATAAAAAGAATAAGACCCATGACCTCTGCAGGAACATGGATGGAGCTGGAGGCCATTATCTTTAGCAAACTAACCCAGGAAGAGAAAAACAAATACTGCATGTTCTCACTTACAAGTGGGATCTAAATAATGAGAACACATGGACACACAGAGGGGAAGAACACACTCTGGGGTCTATCGGAGGGTGGCATATGGGAGCGGGGAGGGGACCATGAAATATAACTATTGAGTAGCGGGCTTAATTAAACCTGGGTGATGAAATAACCTATACAATACATCTCTGTGACATGAGTTAACCTAAGTAAGAAGCCTTCACATGTACCGCGGAACCAAAAATAAAAGTTAAAAAAGAAAAAAAAAAGAAACACGCCCAAGGTCACACAGAAAATGGGGACTGGAACGTGAACCCAGGGAGTCTGGCCTGAAAATCCACAGCCTTCAGCACACACAGTGCTGGGTCTTCCGGGAGCTGAGGGAAGACGATTTCTGCCATCACTCTGGGAGCGCCAACAGGAAACTAGGCAAGTCGGACACTAAGCCACCTCTCTCCATGTTTTCTTTGTATTTAATTTATTTTCTGTAGCTTGGCCATCTTTGCATTTCCAGCCCTGCCATCAGTGATGTTCTGGGCTTGGTAAGGCGGAGGAAGGCCCGGGCAGAAAGCAGCCCCGGAGTCGGGCACTGTGGCGTGCAGGTGGCACACGGGTGTGGAGCATGTGTTCCAGCAAGCACAAGGAGAGGCTGCTCAAACCCACGTGTGACCTTCGGCTGGCAGATGCATCTGACTTACCCAGCCAAGGAACCAACCCTCACACTCCCTGACCCCAAACCCCCAAAAGCACCATCCACAGGGAAGGGCCCCACAGACAGGGGTAGCTGAGCCCTGCACCAGGCACAGAGGGTGTGTGGGGTCCCGGGGGTCAGGGCTGTGCAGGGTGAATATAGAAAGCTGTATGTGAGAGAGAGGGTCTGTAAAAACAGTGCCACTGCAGGGCTGCGGGACACTCAATGTCTCTCAAAAAAAAAAAAAAAAAAGGCTATAAATCTTCCCTGAAAATGGAAAGCAGTTACTTGCAGATGTTTGGGTTTCTCATTGTTTTCCCCTAATTTCAGGGACAGTATGGCACTGCTGGATCTCTCACATGCCAGATGCAGACACACTGAAGACCCATGCACACTTCACAGGCACGTGCACACCTCACCCACCCTATGCACACCTCACAGACCCAGCACACTTCACAGGCACGTGCACACATCACAGACCGAGCACATGTCACAGACCCATGCACACCCCACAGACCCAGCACGTGTCACAGACCCATGCACACCTCTCAGACCCATGCACACCTCACAGATCCAGCATACTCCATAAGCACATGCACACATCACAGACCCAGACCCAGCACATGTCACAGACCCGTGCACACCTCACAGACCCAGCACATGTCACAGACCCGTGCACACCTCACAGATCCAGCACATGTCACAGACCCGTGCACACCTCACAGATCCAGCACACGTCACAGACCCATGCACACCTCACAGATCCAGCACATGTCACAGACCCATGCACACCTCACAGACCCGTGCACACCTCACAGATACAGTACACATCACAGGCACGTGCACACCTCACAGACCCATGCACACCTCACAGACCCGTGCACACCTCACAGACCTGTGCACACATCACAGACCCAGCACACTTCATAGGCACGTGCACACCTCACAGACCCAGCACATGTCACAGACCCATGCACACCTCACAGACCCGTACACACCTCACAGACCCAGCACGTCACAGACCTATGCACACCTCACAGATCCAGCACACTTCATAGGCACGTGCACACCTCACAGACCCATGCACACCTCACAGACCCGTGCACACCTCACAGACCTGTGCACACATCACAGACCCAGCACACTTCATAGGCACGTGCACACCTCACAGACCCGTGCACACCTCACAGACCCAGCACATGTCACAGACCCATGCACACCTCACAGACCCGTACACACCTCACAGACCCAGCACGTCACAGACCTATGCACACCTCACAGATCCAGCACACTTCATAGGCACGTGCACACCTCACAGACCCATGCACACCTCACAGACCCGTGCACACCTCACAGACCTGTGCACACATCACAGACCCAGCACACTTCATAGGCACGTGCACACCTCACAGACCCGTGCACACCTCACAGACCCAGCACATGTCACAGACCCATGCACACCTCACAGACCCGTACACACCTCACAGACCCAGCACGTCACAGACCTATGCACACCTCACAGATCCAGCACACTTCATAGGCACGTGCACACCTCACAGACCCATGCACACCTCACAGACCCGTGCACACCTCACAGATCCAGCACACTTCATAGGCACGTGCACACCTCACAGACCCATGCACACCTCACAGACCCGTGCACACCTCACAGATCCAGCACACTTCATAGGCACGTGCACACCTCACAGACCCATGCACACCTCACAGACCCGTGCACACCTCACAGATCCAGCACACTTCATAGGCACGTGCACACCTCACAGACCCATGCACACCTCACAGACCCGTGCACACCTCACAGATCCAGCACACCTCATAGGCACGTGCACACCTCACAGACCCGTGCACACCTCACAGACCCGTGCACACCTCACAGACCCAGCACACTTCATAGGCACATGCACACCTCATAGACACATTCACACCTCACAGACCCAGCACACTTCATAGGCATGTGCACACCTCACAGACCCGTACACACCTCACAGACCCAGCACGTCACAGACCTATGCACACCTCACAGATCCAGCACACTTCATAGGCACGTGCACACCTCACAGACCCATGCACATCTCACAGACCCGTGCACACCTCACAGACCCAGCACACTTCATAGGCACATGCACACCTCATAGACACATTCACACCTCACAGACCCAGCACACTTCATAGGCACGTGCACACCTCACAGACCCAGCACACTTCATAGGCACGTGCACACATTATAGGCACGTGCACACCTCACAGACCCATGCACACCTCACAGACCCGTGCACACCTCACAGACCCAGCACACTTCATAGGCACGTGCACACATCATAGGCACGTGCACACCTCACAGACCCATGCACATCTCACAGACCCGTGCACACCTCACAGACCCAGCACACTTCATAGGCACATGCACACCTCATAGACACATTCACACCTCACAGACCCAGCACACGTCACAGGCACGTGCACACTTCACAGACCCAGCGCACATCACAGGCACGTGCACTCACTCACATCTCACAGCATCATCTTACATGACGGCTTCAATCACAGGCCGCCCTGCAACGTCAAACAAGCATGAAGGCTGCTCCCAGGGTTTCGTTTGTTCTATTAATGCTGAAAGTGGTTAACTTTCAGAAATTGACTGCACTGTCTTCTTTTCATTTCCCCATAGATTGGGGAAACATTCAGCACATACTGAGTTTGGAAACCATTCTCCAGAAAGCCTCCAAATGCATCTGGACAGGAAGGACAGTGACAGCCAATTCATTTCCCATCAACCTTCCTATCCTTTCTTCTTACCTAAGATCTCCACTTCTGCGCAGCGTCCAGTCCATCCTTTCACATGGTTGGAAAAACAAGCTGAAATTAGGACCATTTTTTCAAAAAAGCAACAATAAAAAGAAAACACGCAAGTTGGTTTTCTGCCCCTCTGGAAACTCAGGCTCAACTACGACTATTCTCTATTTGCTTCAGGCGCTTCAGGAAGGAAAGCTGAGTCCACAACCCAGGGTTACGTTCTGTGCACATCCTGGTCTGTCTGCCATCTCGTGAGCTCCCTCTCGTGCTCCCCGAGCTATAGACATTTGTCAGCTTAGGGTGGTTCGGTGTCAGGAAGGCTCCTGCCAAATGCAACATGGGTGTGGAAACACAGCATAGGATGGGCCGTAACTCACAGAGGGGGATGGAGAACAGAGTCCCTGGCATAATAAATGTGACGAATGGCAAATACTATGTGTGCTTTACAAAAACAGCTCTGCTGGGACAGAGCAGGGAAGAGCAGGGGAAATAAAGCCTCAGGAAGCCCTTCCAGGCACACGTCACACAGAAAGCCCATTCTCCTAGGATTCTCGATAGTCAGCTGCCTCCGTGTTTCCACCCTGGAATTCCGCTGGAAAATAACAGCACACGAGCTTCCCACGCGAGGGGCCCTGGCTCTCCCTGTGAAGAGCTGTGGCTTTTTCTCAGGCCAAATGAGACCCACACAGGACAAGGATCTACCTGGTGCACAGACGCTTCCTTTGGACGCCTCTGGAAGCCTTCGCTGACCTCTGTGTGAGTGGATCTGAGGCCTAGGCAGGCCCGGGTGCGGGGGCTCAGCAACAGCAAGGGGTCTGTGCCAGCCCAGCCTCCCAGCCCTGGAGTGGTGATGAGTATCTAGAAAGCACTCAGTCACCCTCACCTCCAGCCTCTCTGTGAGCTATTGTCTCCATTTTACAGATGAGAAAACCAAGTCTTGGAGCAAAGTCACAGAACCAGTGCACTGCAAAGCCTCTGCTCTCTCCACTTTGTGGTGCTTTAAGTACCCCCACTGATTTTTATTTTGATGCGTGTGTGATACCGCCCGCAGGTGAGCAACTCACACAAAAGTCACATTTTGTTAGAATGGGAAATGCATTGTCAGTACACTCACTGCTGCCTGCTAGATGCTGTATACAGGTGCGGTTTAATAGACTCTCTCACTCTGCTTATCTGGCAAGACTCTTCCCAGAAGAAAATACGTCTGAGATGTTGAAGCAATCCTGCTCCTAGAACCCTTAGAGTCTTATCCTCTACAGAGTCCAAATGGTTCTATTCTCATTTGATAATTTGCTTTTGAACACAGTTCATCACAGGTGTCACTCACAAGTAAGTGACAAGCACCTCACCCTCCTAGAATGGCTCCCTTCAATAGAAAACCCTCCTAGAATGGCTCCCTTCAATAGAAAACCCTCCTAGAATGGCTCTCTTCAATAGAAAACCCTCCTAGAATGGCCTCCTTCAGTAGAAAACCCTCCTAGAATGGCTCCCTTCAATAGAAAACCATCCTAGAATGGCTCCCTTCAATAGAAAACCCTCCTAGAATGGCTTCCTTCAGCAGAAAACCCTCCTAGAATGGCCCCCTTCAGTAGAAAACCCTCCTAGAATGGCTCCCTTCAATAGAAAACCCTCCTAGAATGGCCTCCTTCAGTAGAAAACCGTCCTAGAATGGCTCCCTTCAATAGAAAACCCTCCTTGAATGGCCTCCTTCAGTAGAAAACCGTCCTAGAGTGGCTCCCTTCAATAGAAAACCCTCCTAGAATGGCTCCCCTCAATAGAAAACCCTCCTAGAATGGCTCCCCTCAATAGAAAACCCTACTGGAATGGCTCCCCCTCAATAGAAAACCCTTCTAGAATGGCCTCCTTCAGTAGAAAACCCTCCTAGAATGCCCTCCTTCAATAGAAAACCCTCCTAGAATGGTTCCCTTCAATACAAAATCCTCCTAGAATGGCTCCCTTCAGTAGAAAACCTCCTAGAATGGCCTCCTTCAATAGAAAACCCTCCTAGAATGGCTCCCCTCAATAGAAAACCCTCCTGGAATGGCTCCCTTCAATACAAAACCCTCCTAGAATGGCTCCCCTCAATAGAAAACCCTCCTGGAATGGCTCCCTTCAATACAAAATCCTCCTAGAATGGCTCCCTTCAGTAGAAAACCTCCTAGAATGGCCTCCTTCAATAGAAAACCCTCCTAGAATGGTTCCCTTCAATAGAAAACACTCCTAGAATGGCCTCCTTCAATAGAAAACCCTCCTAGAATGGCCCCCCTTCAATAGAAAACCCTCCTAGAATGGTCCCCCTCAGTAGAAAACCCTCCTAGAATGGCCCCCTTCAGTAGAAAACCCTCCTAGAATGGCTCCTCTCAGTAGAAAACCCTCCTAGAATGACCCCCTTCAGTAGAAAACCCTCCTAGAATGGCCCCCTTAAGTAGAAAACCCTCTTAGAACGGCCCCCTTCAGTAGAAAACCATCCTAGAATGGCCCCCTTCAGTAGAAAACCCTCCTAGAATGGCTCCCTTCAGTAAAAAAAAAAAAAACCCTAGAATGGCTCCCTTCAATAGAAAACCCTCCTAGAATGGCTCCCTTCAGTAGATAGTGCACCGGCAGGAAGCTCCTACCTTGTCACTCAGGCACAGACCCCCGCTCAGCATGGCTACCCCCTCCCTGCATCTCCCACCATCAGAGAAACACGGACCAGAACCATGTTAGGGTGACTGTTCTCATCAAAGGACAAAAGTCACAGGTGCTGGTGAGAATGCGGGGAACCTGTTCCCAGCACTATCTCCTCCTTCAGGCAGAACAAGGTTAATCCCCACAACATGAGACCCCTACAGTTCCACAGCCCTAACTAATCACAACTGTGGTAGAGTCTTCACTTTCAGAATACTTTTCATTTTCAGGCACCACGGTTGTAATTTTTAAGAACTTTTTCTCTGTAGAATGGATCACATATGAAAAGGTGGCGTTAAGAAGGTAAATCAATGACACATCATCACTCCGAAATCTCAGGATAAAGTATGAGCCTGTACACTGGGATTCGGGGCACCCGTGGGCCTCCTTCAACACATCCTCATGTCATGAGACCGCACCTTTCCGGCTTCCTGCCTGGTTCTCCCAGGTGGACCATCAGGTGTGGCACCTGCACGGCTGGCCGCTGCCGACCACTGCTCCTCCTCTGCTCCAGGGCGTCTGGCGAGTCGAGGTAGGCGAGCACGAGATGGCAGAGATTTTCTCCTCTGCTAAGAAGGAAGCTGCCGGTGCTCTTCAGAGGCCCTGCAGATGGAGGAAGCACACTCCACTTCCTGCTCTCTGGTGAGGGATGCAACCTAATTAAGGGTAATTAACCCAACAGCAGGTGCGAGTGGTCCCGGGGCTGCCTCGCTGACAGGCCTCGGGCACAGGAGCAAACTGGGGAAGGAGGTGGCAGCCCTGGGCCCCGGGACCCCAACCCCTCAGTGCAGCCCACCAGCCCAGGGAGCGACAGCTTCTTCCTCTGCCAAGCGGGGTTGCAGGCGGCGATTTCCTGGAGCAGCCCAAGGATTAAATGAGACAGAGTCAGCAAACGCCTCGGCCAGGCTAGAAACCATTCGGGCCTCTGTTATTGATCGTGTTCAGGATCAATTAAGTCAAGAGTTCAAGTCCCTCTGAAGATGCTCGTGGTTTTACACGCCCACCCCTAAGGCATCTGCTCTGGCCCACACGTGCCGTGACTTCTTGTCACCAAAGGGATTTCCGTAACATGACTGTGCTGGTCCTGTGGCTGGAACCCTCTCCCAGGCTCTCTTTACATGGCTGGCATCAACCCTCCCTCCACTATTTGGTGATGTAACATGGCTGTGCTGATCCTGCGGCTGGAACCCACTCCTGAGCTCTTTTTACTGGGCTGGCGTCAACCCTCCCTCCACTATCCAGTGCACGCCCCTCTCCAGCCACCTTGTCTGAGGCTCCACCGTGGCCGGGGCTGGATGCTGTTCTTGCTCCTGAATCATCCATCACCAGCAACCCCTCACCCTAACACGTGGTACCCCCATGGCTCCCTCTGCCTTGGCATGAAGGAAACGTGCACACATCTCGCTGTGGTGATTCATGCGTGAAGACGAGCCGGCCGAGCAATCCTGTGTCCCACAAGCAAGCGCTTTGTGTTCTTGTGATGCCACCTGATGCAGGGGCCCAGAAAGGGTTTGTTGTTAGAAGATTCCCACAGCCAGGTCCATCACTGGCATCCTCACCAAAGGCCAACTCAACAGTGGCAGATGCAGCCCCAACATGGGTGCGGGGACCCCTCGAACTGATTTCCAATAAACAACCACTTGCACACTCCTGAATACAGCAGACACCTGCCAGTCATCACCGTCAACCAAGGCCCCGCCAGTCATCACCGTCAACCAAGGCCCCGCCAGTCATCACCGTCAACCAAGGCCCCGCCAGTCATCACCGTCAACCAAGGCCCCGCCAGTCATCACCGTCAACCAAGGCCCCGCCAGTCATCACCGTCAACCAAGGCCCCGCCAGTCATCACCGTCAACCAAGGCCCCGCCAGTCATCACCGTCAACCAAGGCCCCGCCAGTCATCACCGTCAACCAAGGCCCCGCCAGTCATCACCGTCAACCAAGGCCCCGCCAGTCATCACCGTCAACCAAGGCCCCGCCAGTCATCACCGTCAACCAAGGCCCCGCCAGTCATCAACGTTAACCAAGGCCCCGCCAGTCATCACCGTTAACCAAAGCCCTGCCAGTCATCACCGTTAAACAAGGCCCTGCCAGTCGTCACCGTTAACCAAGTCCCCGTCAGTCATCACCGTTAACCAAGGCCCTGCCAGTCATCACCGTTAACCAAGGCCATACGACTCTGAGAAGCCCTGAAAGTTTCAGCATGGTGGGTCCACATGAATCCAACAGAGCCTGGAAGTCTCCAAACACCCCCAGACGACGCCCAGGGCAGCCAGCATGTGATACACACACAGGGCAGATAGGCCACCGGGACTCACGGCCACCTCCGTTCCCTTCTTACCTCCACCAGAGTCAGACTCCAGAGACTCAGAAAGACCCCGGAAAACCTCAGAGACCCCCAGAAAGTTACGAAGACCCCGGAAAACCACAGAGACTCCAGAGACTCATAGGGAACCACAGAGACTCCAGAGACTCATAGGGAACCACAGACTCACGAAGACCCCAGAATCTCATGAAGACCCCGGAAAACCACAGAGACCCCAGAGACTCATAGGGACCCAGAGACTCACAAAGACCCCTGAAACTCATGAAGACCCCAGAAAACCAGAGACCCCAGAGACTCACAAAGACCCCGGAGACTCACAAGGCCCCACGCACATTTTCTGCCCCGTCACCTCCCCCAGGGCTGTGTTTTCTTCCCCTTTTTCTCCTCCCCACATCACCACCTCTCAACTGTGAGGACACCAGGCTCCTGAGTGCAGACGCAAAGGTGCCTAAATCCCCCCACGCACGAGGCCACAGTTTCACAGGCTCCCTTGCCACAGAGGCGAGTGCCCACATGACAGGCCCAGTGGGGAGATAACATTTCCTGAAATATTATCAGAATTGCATGGACTTGTGCAGAGCCTTCAGGAGACCATGTCTACACATTAATGGTATAAATATATAATATCAAAAGAAAACATTTACTCTCTCTCAAATCCCACGAATAGCGTGCGTTTCTCATTTAAGAGACTTAGTCTCTCTCCGCCATGGATTTTTGGACGGCATGCCAATCACTGAGTGACTCGAGACAGCTGTGTCTGTAATGTTTTATGTATCTATAAATTATATATAAATATATAATAGATATATAATATATAATTATATATGTAATTTATATATATTATTATGTAATTATATATTACATGTAATTTTTATATTATATATTATATATGTATGTAAATATATATTAATATTAATCAGTAAAAGCTTGAATCTATATTCATTATATATATTCAATATGTAATTCAATATTATATATAATTATAAATTAGTAAAAGCTTGAATATATATTAAGCTTTTACTAATTTATATTGAATAAAATGTGTGTCATATCACATATGTTGTTTTATAATATGAGTTCTTCTCTTTATCTGAACATTTCCTGAATTGAATGTTCCCCTATAATACAATATGCTGGCTGCTTTTTTAAGTTCATAAATCTTTTTTCCTTTTTTGTGCTAAAATAAACATAATATAAAATCCACCATCTTGACTGTCTTAGGTGTTTGCCTCAGTGGTGACAAGGACCTTCCCATCATCGTGTCGTGTTCGGCTCAGGGGTGACGAGGACCTTCCCATCGTCGTGTTGTGTTCGGCTCAGGGGTGACGAGGAGCTTCCCATCGTCGTGTCGTGTTCGGCTCAGGGGTGACGAGGACCTTCCCATCGTCGTGTCGTGTTCGGCTCAGGGGTGACGAGGAGCTTCCCATCGTCGTGTCGTGTTCGGCTCCGGGGTGACGAGGACCTTCCCATCGTCGTGTCGTGTTCGGCTCAGGGGTGACGAGGACCTTCCCATCGTCGTGTCATGTTTGGCTCAGGGGTGATGAGGACCTTCCCATTGTCGTGTCACCATCTCCGGAACTCTTCCATCTTCCCAGACTGAGCGTCTGCCGCCATGAAATGCCCCCTCCACCCCCAGCCCCGGCACCCCCGTCTGCCTTCTGTCTCTGTGAATCTGCAGACTCTGGGTGCCTCCTGTGAGTCGCTCACATTGTGGGTGTCCCTCTGTGGCCGGCCTGTTCACTGTGCTTAATGTCCTCAAGGTTCATCCACTTTGTAGCCTGTGGCGGAATTCTAATAAACAGCATGCTCACTTACTGATTCTGCAAGCAGAGCATACACTGGCCAACAAATGGCCCCCCTGCTCCTCGGCCTTGGCCCCCCACCCTGTGTTGGTGAGTGAGCCTTTGTTGGATTTTAAGGAATTGTTTTCCCAGTTCCATTCGGCAGTTCTTCCAGATCCCCCAGGCTGCACACTCAGAGACAGATTTTATGTCACTTAACATTTGCGTCTGCCATGCCCATCAGTGCAGATTCAAATTGCTAACATCAGAGTGAAGATGCCGTTCAGGCCCTTCTAGCCCCTGAGGAGTAGACGTGGGCTTGTGAACGCCAGGAACCCCAGAAGAAACCCCACGTGGGACCAGCATAGGAATCTCACCACATCCTCCCAATCACTGCAGGTGATGCGGGTAAAAGAAATGTAACTGGTATTGCTTATCTTTAAAGAAAGTTTCACTGGAACAGCTATAAAGCACTTGAAATGCTATGGTTAAAATGAGTGGCTTTAAGAAATTGATTTTTAAATGCTATCATCTGTATGAAATTGAATCCATTTTCAAGGTTAGTCTATTTCTACAGAACACACGGTTTCTCAGCAGCCCCTCCTTCTTACAAAACTCTGTCCTGCGTGGCAGATCATGCGTGGAAAGAGAATGAAGTCAAAAGGAGCTGAAATGCAACAGGCGCGCCAAGTTCACACACTCATCAGTCATGACGTCTGACAATTATCCTCTGAAATACAACTTCTAAGTGTGTGACCTACCTTCATTTTCTTATAGAGTAATTCCCCTGTATCAGAGAAGACACATTCTGAGACCACCGGGGGTGCCTGAAACTGTGGGTAGGCACGTGCACGCACACACACACACACACCACAAACTCTAATACATGTTTTTCCCTACACACATTGTACACTGTGGACATGCTGGACAAAGGTTTTCCCTACACAAGCTGTACACTGTGGATATGCTGGACAAAGGTTTTCCCTACACACATTATACACTGTGGACATGCTGGACAAAGGTTTTCCCTACACACGCTGTACACTGTGGACATGCTGGACAAAGGTTTTCCCTACACACGCTGTACACTGTGGACATGCTGGACAAAGGTTTTCCCTACACACGCTGTCCACTGTGGACATGCTGGACAAAGGTTTTCCCTACACACGCTGTACACTGTGGACATGCTGGACAAAGGTTTTCCCTACACACGCTGTCCACTGTGGACATGCTGGACAAAGCTTTTCCCTACACACACTGTACATGCTGGACAAAGGGATGATTCATGTCCCAGGCAGGGCAGAGCAGGATGGCACAAGATTCATTACACTACTAAGAACAGTGTGCAATTCAAAACTTATGACTTGTTCATTTCTAGAATTTTCCATTTAATATTTTCAGATCTCAGTTGACTTCGGGTAACTGAAATCTCGGGAAGCAAAACCCTGGAGAAGGGGGCCTACTGTAAGAGCTTTGCGGCATAATAGAAGGGACGTGTTTCCATTGAAATGAGGATTTTGAATGCATGTCTATGGATATTCAGAAGGAATTATCACATTTAAGTGAATTATCTTCAGAATCCCAAGGATTGGGTAAATATAAAAGACCTGTGGTATTTCTAAATACTGTACACACTAATTACCAATGTCTAAATGTCAGGCTACTTTTAGTAAGTAAACCAATTGATTTCAAACAAGCTACCCACTTAATTAATGTAGAAATCTCAGGGCAGAAGACGTTCTCCACCTCTGAAGCTTCAAAGCTTCACATAGAAACACATCCGAACACTTTTCCTAATCCTCCTGGTAGCCTCTGAAAGGGACGAAGTCCCTCCTCTAATGAAGAGACACCACTGCGAGGATGTGGTAGCACAGACCAGAAACTCCCTGAGGGCTGAGGTCGGCACCGAGTTTACTTAGCAACGTAGCCCCAGTACGGCCCTGGCGCATCCCAGACACTCGGTAATTTGTTGAATGAAACTTGCGAGCAAAGATAAATGGCTGCAGGAATGATCAAAGGCTCCTATGCACACCGGAGACACACGTCTCTACGCAACACACAGGACGCTGCTTGTTTTCTTTTCATTGTTGTGAATGTGAAGAAACTGATGACAGAAATATTAACTCTCAGAAGCCCTCTGCGGGAATTCATCGCAGTTACTACGCATTCGGAGAGGATCTGAGAGCACAGCCAGGTAAAACCACCAGGCACGTGGGCACTTTGGAAAGCAGGAAGCCAGGAACACCGGCGAGGCTGAGAACTGGGGTTATTTTAGTAAATAGTTTTTGCCTTCAAAGAATCTCTTTGAAATGCTGTAAGAACAGTATTTTCTAAAATACACACTAGCCCCAGAGGAGTGAGCCATGAAATGTACCCTTTTCCAAACGAACAGACTGTTGGAATGCACACCTATCCCACCTCCCAGGCACCATTTAGCAACACATTTGGTAAAAAGCAATAGCAAAGTCGTTCTGTGATTTGTGTGATGTTCAAAGCAAGTGAGGACGAAGGGCCCTACCGGGACCCTGGTGTGCGTCGCAGCGTCCGTGCGCGGCCGGGAGCCTGGAGTGGGTGGCGGCGTCCGTGGGCGGCCGGGAGCCTGGCGTGGGTGGCGGCGCCCGTGGGCGGCCGGGAGCCTGGCGTGGGTGGCGGCGCCCGTGGGCGGCCGGGAGCCTGGCGTGGGTGGCGGCGCCCGTGGGCGGCCGGGAGCCTGGCGTGGGTGGCGGCGTCCGTGGGCGGCCGGGAGCCTGGCGTGGGTGGCGGCGCCCGTGGGCGGCCGGGAGCCTGGTGTGGGTCGCGGCGTCTGTGGGTGGCCATCGCAGGGTGGGGCCAGCCCGCTGTGCCTGTCCTCCCTGAAGCCCAACAAACACTGGCTGCATTCCCAGCTGCTCCGTGCCTTGGAAAACATTCTCAGATTTACCCACCAAGTTGTAAAAAAGCAAACCTGCCCGGGAGGCCCTCGTGAGGAGGAGCCAGTCACACGTCGGGTGTCCCTGAATGTTCCAGAAGCGCGTTCCAGGGTTGAAGGTGAACATTCATTGAAGGTGAACAAACATTGTTTGGGCACCTCATTTGCCATTTTGCATCCAAAACGATTCACTTCCAAGTTAGTTTCCAAATTGTAAACATATTTTTGGAAACAAACTGGTGTGCGGAGGAGTTTCTGTGACGCATACGCAGAGGACGCCGGGACTCAGTCCAGCTCCAAGGCCGGGATGCCCGGCTGTGCTCTTGGGGAGGGACGTGTGTCCAGTGGCGCCGCCAACGTTTGCTGAGAGCAGAATTGCGTTGCAAGGAAATATAACTCACGGCAGTTTTCTCTTCAGATCAAAACCAGTCAACGTAGTAAGAGAAGAGGCAGAAATGTCGAAGGCCATGCGGCTGGGGTTCATACAAACCTCTAAGCAGACTCAGTCAAAGGCAGAATCAACATGGTGCAAAAGCCTGCCCTAGGCTCCCAGCTCGACTCTCCTGAGCGCAGGGAGGTGGGTCTCACACTGGAGGGGACCTCTCCATGCCACAGACGGTGAAGGCCTGCCCCGGGCTGCCAGCTCGACTCTCCTGAGCAGAGGGAGGTGGGTCTCACGCTGGAGGGGTCCTCTCCATGCCACAAAGGGTGAAGGCCTGCCCTAGGCTCCCAGCTCGACTCTCCTGAGCAGAGGGAGCTGGGTCTCACACTGGAGGAGACCTCTCCATGCCACAGAGGGTGAAGGCCTGCCCCGGGCTCCCAGCTCGACTCTCCTGAGCAGAGGGAGCTGGGTCTCACACTGGAGGGGACCTCTCCATGCCACAGAGGGTGAAGGCCTGCCCCGGGCTCCCAGCTCCACTCTACTGAGCAGAGGGAGGTGGGTCTCACGCTGGAGGGGACCTCTCCATGCCACAGAGGGTGAAGGCCTGCCCTAGGCTCCCAGCTTGACTCTCCTGAGCACAGGGAGGTGGGTCTCACGCTGGAGGGGTCCTCTCCATGCCACAGAGGGTGAAGGCCTGCCCCGGGCTCCCAGCTCCACTCTACTGAGCACAGGGACGTGGGTCTCACGCTGGAGGGGTCCCCTCCATGCCACAGAGGGTGAAGGCCTGCCCCGGGCTCCCAGCTGGACTCTCCTGAGCAGAGGGAGCTGGGTCTCACGCTGGAGGGGACCTCTCCATGCCACAGAGGGTGAAGGCCTGCCCTAGGCTCCCAGCTCGACTCTCCTGAGCAGAGGGAGCTGGGTCTCACGCTGGAGGGGACCTCTGCATGCCACAGAGGGTGAAGGCCTGCCCTGGGCTCCCAGCTTGACTCTCCTGAGCACAGGGAGGTGGGTCTCACACTGGAGGGGACCTCTCCATGCCACATAGGGTGAAGGCCTGCCCCGGGCTCCCAGCTTGACTCTCCTGAGCACAGGGAGGTGGGTCTCACGCTGGAGGGGTCCTCTCTATGCCACAGAGGGTGAAGGCCTGCCCCGGGCTCCCAGCTCCACTGTACTGAGCGCAGGGAGGTGGGTCTCACGCTGGAGGAGACCTCTCCATGCCACAGAGGGTGAAGGCCTGCCCCGGGCTCCCAGCTCCACTCTACTGAGCGCAGGGAGCTGGGTCTCACACTGGAGGGGACCTCTCCATGCCACAGAGGGTGAAGGCCTGCCCCGGGCTCCCAGCTCCACTGTACTGAGCGCAGGGAGCTGGGTCTCACGCTGGAGGGGACCTCTCTATGCCACAGAGGGTGAAGGCCTGCCCCGGGCTCCCAGCTCCACTCTACTGAGCGCAGGGAGGTGGGTCTCACGCTGGAGGGGTCCTCTCTATGCCACAGAGGGTGAAGGCCTGCCCTAGGCTCCCAGCTTGACTCTCCTGAGCACAGGGAGGTGGGCCTCACGCTGGAGGGGTCCTCTCCATGCCACAGAGCTTGATGAGTCCCTCGACTCTGGAGCACAGGGAGGTAGTTCTCACGCTGGGGGGTTCCTCTCCATGCCACAGAGGTTGAGTGCTGCTGCTTCTCCTTTTGTGCTAACACACTGGTCCCTAAAGCTCTTGATGATGAACATGCCCCGGAATGCATTTAAATGCTGGTGCCCTGAGCCCACACACAAACCTCCTGCATCCAAGTTTCCTTGGGAGAGGTCTGAGCAAAGGCTTGGCAAGGCTTGATTTTATAAGTGGCCCAGGTGCTTCTTAGAGCTTGGGAAATAATCAACAGTCCTGGTTTGGCAGCAACCATGGAAAGTCAGCCATGGTGAACAGCATGAAAACAGGTCCAATTAACCCCAAACACACCTAGAACACGTTTACACACTTGTGTGATGTAAATGGAAAAATAATTTAGGGCAACGTCATCTCTGAACAAACAAACGTTTTGAACAATGTTTACACTGAATATTTTCTTCATTTAGCATGTAGATCTTGATTCCTTAAAAAAATCATTAATTTTGTTTTTAAAATATTCAGTTCTCTAAAATTGTTAGATAGTTTTGGTGTCAAATTCACCCAGAGCCTGTTCTCTAGGGAAGAGCATGCATTCACTCCGCAAACATTTCTTAGACATCTCAAGCTTGGCCCACACTGAAAAATAAATAAGCTCTTCCTAATGCATGCAATTGCTTTATTACCTATTTACTTTGCATTCTAGAATTAGAAGGTTTTTATGTTACAAAAAGAAAAAGACATTTAAGAGTAGAGCCTCAGTAGAGCTTTCTTCTCCAGCACGGGACTGTTTTGGCCTGGGACCTGATAAAGCCGACAATAACACAGTAATTACAGCCAGTCCTCACTGTGTGTCCTGGCTGTGCGCCCAGCACTCGGAAAATGGTTTACTTTGAAGACCCCCAAGCCTCACAACAGTGTTGACGGTGGACACTGCTAACCCATTACTAAAATCAAAGCAAGGGGGCTCAGAAAGGTCACCAGGAAGTAGACTCTGAATCACTTCACCCAAAAACCCCTGTGCTCACCGCCAGGAAGTCAAGTGTAACCGGAAGCAGCCCTGATGGAGGATCCCAACAAGAACCCCGGGCGAGGGTGAGCTTGGGGTCTGCTGCGGACAGGGGTGGGACCAGCCTCGTGTCCAGGGTCTGCAGAGGGCAGGTGGTGGGGAGAGAGCGGTTCTGCAGATTTGGGTGCTAAACCCATCTCTCTGTTCTTTCCCAAACGTGGCCCTAACGCAACTATGAGGGCCTCCATTCCTGTGCTTTTGTGTTCACCAATTTAAAAATGACAAGTAAAGGGTGACCACGGCATCTTCATCTCCCTCCTGAAGGAGCACCAGGCTGTCTCACTCCACCCTGGGAAGGTGGTCCATGCCAGCGCAGGCTGCTGCCCCAGGCTGTCTCACTCCACCCTGGGAAGGTGGTCCACGCCAGTGCAGGCTGTTGCACCAGGCTGTCTTGCTCCACCTTGGGAAGGTGGTCCACCTGGAGCAGGCTGCTGAGACCTGGAAGTGCCGCTCCTGAAGAGCAGAGCTGTCCTTCTGTTTCTCCCTGTGTCCACTTAAACTAAACCCTCAGGAAAACAACGACCAAAACCAAAGAAAAGGAAACACTCGCCCAAGGGGTCAGGACGTTTGCTTGGATAATCCCTGTATACTCTCAGTACATTCTAACATCCTAATATAAGCCTTCTGTGTTCAATGCCATGCCCACGCTAAGAGAAGAACCTGCGGCTGGGTCCAGAGAAAGAGGGGGAGGCACGGAGCTTGTCCAGCCACTCTTGTGCCCGCTGCACGGTCAATAAAGACACAAAACAGAGGGCATTTTGAGGGCTTCGGGTAAATCCCTAAAGAAGCCTCATATTGTGATGAGCCGAGGAATTCAAGCTGCAGCTCGTCGCTGTCGCCATAGAAACAAGACATGTTGGAAGGTGTGATGCACCATCAAAGGACTGAGAAATTTAAGCCTCAGCACAAAACAGAGAAAAGCACTTGAAGCCGGTTTTTTGTTTCTTTTTCTTCACCCAGAAAAACACAATTAATTATTCATTCTCTGTACTGACAGGAAGGCCTCAGTTTTACCGTAAATACTGGATTCTCCATCTCTGCACTTCACCGTGGACCCACCTTGTGACTTTCTAACTCCGTTAGTGGATTGGAAAGAAATCATTTTTTATAACATAATTAAAGTTAAAATGCCTTAAAATATTCAGCCTTCAGTTGCTGAAAGCTTTACTCGCGTTGGAAATGCTCAACCTCCCAGCTCTACCGTCCAAAGTCTCAGCCAGTCCCAGTTCCCTGCCTCTCCCAGGGCTCTGTTCCCAAATGGGCCCTGGCATCAAGAAGCACAAACTGCCCCCTGCCCACTCCACGGAGCTGCCCTCCATCCACCACAGAGCTGCCCTCCGCCCACCTCGCAGCTGCCCTCCCTCCACCGCGGAGCTGCCCTCCCTCCACCCACCGCGAAGCTGCCCTCCCTCCACCGGGGAGCTGCCCTCCATCCACGAGCGCCTGCATGGACTTCAATCCATCCACAAGCACCTGCACACAGAGAGGCATGGACTTCAGCCCCGCTTCCTCAGATGCAGACAGACCCCTCGGCTGGCACCCATCGTCACCTTTGAGACCCCAACTCTCATTCCAGACCTGAATATTCCTAGAGCCAGAAGCAGCAGGTGCCTGCCCATGATGGCTGATGTCGTGTATTCACCTGGTGGGCCATGGTGCCCAGAGAGTTGGTCAAACACCTGTCTGGCTGTCAGTGTGAAGGTGTTTCTGGCTGTTGGTGTGAAGTTGTTTCTGTCTGGCTGTTGGTGTGAAGGTGTTTCTGTCTGGCTATTAGTGTGAAAGTGTTTCTGTCTGGCTGTCGGTGTGAAGGTGTTTCTGTCTGTCAGTGTGAAGGTGTTTCTGTCTGGCTGTCGGTGTGAGGGTGTTTCTGTCTGGCTGTTGGTGTGAAGGTGTTTCGGTCTGGCTGTTGGTGTGAAGGTGTTTCTGGCTGTCGGTGTGAAGGTGTTTCTGTCTGGCTGTTGGTGTGAAAGTGTTTCTGTCTGACTGTCGGTGTGAAGGTGTTTCTGGCTGTCAGTGTGAAGGTGTTTCGGTCTGGCTGTTGGTGTGAAGGTGTTTCTGGCTGTTGGTGTGAAGGTGTTTCTGTCTGGCTGTTGGTGTGAAAGTATTTCCGTCTGACTGTCAGTGTGAAGGTGTTTCTGGCTGTGGGTGTGAAGGTGTTTCTGGCTGCGGGTGTGAAGGTGTTTCTGTCTGGCTGTTGGTGTGAAGGTGTTTTTTAGAAGGGATTAATGGTTAGATTGGTGGACTGTGGGTGAAGGAGATGGCCCTCATACCGTGGGCCTCACCCAGTCTGCTGGAGGCTGTGAGAGAAGAAGCGTGCGGTCCCCAAGGAGGAAGGAGCTCGGCCTCGGTTTTCAGCCTCAGCTGCCAGCCTCAGCTGCAGCACTGGCTCTTCCCAGGGCGCCTGCCCATGGCCTACTCTGGGGATTTCGGACCCGCAGCCCCCATATCCGGTGAAATGATTCCTTACAATCTCTCTCTTTATCCACAAACACCCCTATGGGGTCTGTTCACTGCCCCACACCACACAGTGTAAGTGGCTGATCTGGGCTGAACCCAGTTATGAGGCCCCGGTCCACACTCCTGGCCTTCCAGGAATCCGTCCCTGTGGCTGGATTCTGCCCTCCATGGGAGGGTCCCCCACACCATCTGTGTTGCTGGGAGAGCCACATCTGGGCTCCCAGGCCAAGTCGGGACCTCAGGTTCCTCTCTGGCTTCAGGATTCTGCAGAACCAACCCTGAAACCTCAGCACGAGACAGTGTGACTGTAATTACAAGATCCAATCAATGTCTGCAGCCTTGAAGGCTCTGTCCCTGGAGAGGCATGTGACTCCTCTGAAGTGGGTCCACCTGTGGATGCCACAGAGCCGGCCACAGCCCCCTCTTCCTGCCAGGAGACCCCAGACCCAGGGCCCTCATGCTCCCTGCATGCCTACCCCTGAAATCCTCTGCAGGAACCACGGGGCAAAGAGGAAGGGGAAAGTGCGAAGTCCAACCACAGGCAAGCCAGCCCCGGGATCGCTGACGGCAAAGGCTATAAGAGGCCTCAAGGTGCCAGGCGGACCCTACGCATCCACGTGGCCACCAAGCACACATATTGCACATCAGCAGAGGGCTGTGGAGGTGCCAGCCCGGCACAGTGGAAATGCCAGGCTCTGAGTTGGAAAATTGTGAAGACAGCAGGGACTTAAACTGATTCTGGGGACTGTGTGACTGCCCAGCGCTGACCTGTGAGGCCAGCTGCACCCAGGACTTGAGCCAGGCAGGCGAGGACAGAGCCTGTTCTGGGTATGAAGGGGCAGACACCGGCCGCTCCCATGAGAGTCCCCAAAACATGGAGAGGAGACACGCAGGAGAGGCTGCACGGCTGGAGTGCAGTTCAAACACGCTGCTCTCTGACGCTGTGTTTTGTTCCATTGTCACTACTGAACAATCAGAAAATAAAACGTGGGGCAGAAGTGGCAGACGACATGGAACTCCCAGAGGCTGGGCCGCTACACCCCAGCCTGGGATGTGGGGAGCTGTGCGTTAGAGAAGAGGAAAAGCAGAACGAGCGAAAGAGGGAAAAGGGGGAAGGCAGGTGTGGGGATGGCGAGGGCAGGAATTACAGGGGCTGCGGAGGGGTAGGAGTGGGGAGAGGGTCGGGGGCCATGGAGGAGACTCAGGGCCAGAGCTGCAGCTTCCACGGGAGACACGCAACGTCAACAACCCAGACGTCCACCCACAAGAACTGCTTCACCAACTCATGATCTCTCCATAGCATCCGGCATCATGATGCAGGTCTCCATTTAACACAGAGATAATGACAGCCGGAGGGACCTGCCGAATGATATGGCATCACTGCGGGCTCTTGGCTGAAAAGCACTACAGGTGTGTGCACACACATAGGTGGGCGCAGGAAGGCAACACAGCAAAATACCAGCCATCTGGATGGTGGAATGAAGACGATGTTCCATTTCTCTTTGTAACTTTATTAAGTAGATGTTTTTAATAGTTAGCGTCTTACTAGACTGAGAAAAGGAATCCACTGAGGCCGCGAAACACTGGCCTCCCCCATGTCCTTCGCCAACCCAATGCTCAGCAGACGCTTCTGAACATTTTTGTACAGTTTTTACAGACAAGGTGCCGGCAGATTTAATCCTCACAGGCCTCACCTTCGAGTATCCGCTCTGGAATTTCAGTGGCCCAGTGGGACTGACCGGGTGCTTCCAGTACTTCACGAAGTGACGTTTACATGACCAGGAAGAGATGCACAGGCTCCCAGAGAGAACCGGGGTGGGCTGTGTGCTTCTGGCTCTCCACTGCTCGAGATGGGTCTGGGCGCTGCAGGCTGCCCGGAGCCCTGTGCGCAGACGGGGCAAGACTGCCTTTCAGACCCAGAGTGAAGACTGACAAACACCACGTCCCTCAAGCTGAAGTTAACGTTCTGATGAGGTTAGAATTCCAAAGAATGGAAGATGTTCTTCCAAAGTAATCAGTTTAGCTAAGTACTCCAAGCCACTGGAATACTAAGTTTAAACTGAAATCATAGAAATTATAGAAAATGATTTTCATGTGAGTCTAAACAGACTTTTGGACAAAATCTCCATCAATAAGAGTCCTCGATGAAAAGAATTTTCCCTACATTCAGCTTTTGTACTAAATAATAATAACAACAACAACAACAACCTATGCAGGATAAAAACTTGGAAACAGAAAACAAACCCCAGGGTGCCCTGGAGTCAGCAGACGTCCACACAGCGTACTGCCTTCCACCTGCACAGCAGCCTCTGGAGGCCCCTCAGGGCTCAGTCAGCAAGAGGCAAGACCCCCAACCTCCCCACTCAGGGGGCTGCCACTCTCCCCACAGGACAAACCCCCTGTGGATTCTCAAACCTCCCACTCAGGCCCTGAATTTCTGGACTGCCTCAGGCATCTGTGCACATGCCTGTGCTGGTAGCTGGCACAGGCGAACCCTGTCGTGGTCAAAAGCTAAGGAGCCCAAGAGCCTGCCCTGCCTGGCCAGGAGGGCCCCAGAGTGCAGACATGGAGCAGGTCCTCGGGGTGTGAGTTTCCACCCCTGCCTGGCCAGGAGGGCCCCAGAGGGCAGACATGGAGCAGGTCCTCGGTGTGTGAGTTTCCACCCCTGCCTGGCCAGGAGGGCTCCAGAGGGCAGACAGGCAGCAGGTCCTCGGGGTGTGAGTTTCCACCCCTGTCTGGCCAGGAGGGCTCCAGAGCGCAGACAGGCAGCAGGTCCTCGGGGTATGAGTTTCCACCCCTGTCTGGCCAGGAGGGCTCCAGAGCGCAGACAGGCAGCAGGTCCTCGGGGTGTGAGTTTCCACCCCTGTCTGCCCAGGAGGGCTCCAGAGTGCAGACAGGCAGCAGGTCCTCGGGGTATGAGTTTCCACCCCTGCCTGGCCAGGAGGGCTCCAGAGTGCAAACAGGAAACAGGTCCTCAGGGTGTGAGTTTCCACAGCCCCCCAAGTCACTTCTTCCAGTAAAGTCACGGACTTCATCCCAAGCAGTGGATTTGCACAGCTCAGAGCTGCAGCTCTTTGGCAAGAAACTGTCACATGTGTCTCCAACCCCCGAGTGTCTCCCAAACAATCAGGTCTGATCACAATGTGGAATCCATACAAAAGCGAAAGAATGGATGGATATGTTGTAGGAATGTCCTTTAATGTCCTCCAGAGGAAAACACCCCTCCTTTTAAAAATATCCTTTAAACTGCCATGATAAATGATAAAATCATGAACACAGCATTTATAAGAACAGCATTCCTTGGCCTGAAAATCAATATGAACCTATCATTTTTCAGCACATTTGCAAAACAGCTACTTCCAACCCAACTCTGAGCAGTGGGCCTCAGTGCTCTCAGCCTGCATGGCAAGGAGGGAGGGTGCCAGTCTCTGCAGAGACAGAGATGTTGCTGAAGGCCTGGGGCAGCAGGAGAGACCCTGGGGGACAGACGGAGCTGACTCTGGGCCCATTCAGGCCCCTGATGCTGGAGGAAGGCGATGGAGTCTCACCAGCCCACGGTTATGAGTGAGGGCAGCATGCCTCAGGGGGACAAACGGCTGGCTGGTGTCAAAAGGGAAAGTAAGACATTTGTTTTCATATTGTGGTGCCACTCAGGCCGACATATACAGACCAATAGACCATGTCCGGAGAAAGCCTGTGCAGGCCTAAGAGATTTGTTACTTTCATTTTTACTTTTGCAGCAGCTACTATGGCCAGAGCAATTGCATAGCCTGCTGGATGAGGGGTGGAGAGAGTGAGGCCGGGGAGCGAGAATTGCATAGCCTGCTGGATGAGGGGTGGAGAGAGTGAGGCCGGGGAGCAAGAATTGCATAGCCTGCTGGACGAGGGGTGGAGAGAGTGAGGCCGGGGAGCAAGAATGGCATAGCCTGCTGGATGAGGGGTGGAGAGAGTGAGGCCGGGGAGCGAGAATGGCATAGCCTGCTGGATGAGGGGTGGAGAGAGTGAGGCCGGGGAGCGAGAATGGCATAGCCTGCTGGATGAGGGGTGGAGAGAGTGAGGCGGGGGGAGCGAGAACGGCATAGCCTGCTGGATGAGGGGTGGAGAGAGTGGGGTGGGGGGAGCGAGAATGGCATAGCCTGCTGGATGAGGGGTGGAGAGAGTGGGGTGGGGGGAGTGAGAATTGCATAGCCTGCTGGATGAGGGGTGGAGAGAGTAGGGTGGGGAGAGTGAGAATTGCATAGCCTGCTGGATGAGGGGTGGAGAGAATGAGACTGGGGAGTGAGAATTGCATAGCCTGCTGCATGAGGGGTGGAGAGAGTGGGGTGGTGGGAGCAAGTAACGTTCTTCTGCCTGTTTGCCTTTCGGAGACCCTGGAAGAAGCCACAGCTAAATTTCCTACAATCTCTGATGATGCACCACATGTCAGAGATTTGACAGCTTTATCCCATCTCAAGGGCATGAAAAACAGACAGAGAAAGACTAAAATTCAGCTGTTTTCTGAATTTCCGGCAGTGTTACTGGTCAACTGCCATAGAAGATGGAAATCAGCCAACAGCACGCAGATGAGGAGGAGAAAAGCTTTTCACCTTGCTTAGAAAGTCCTGTGTCACCCAGTCCCCACCAGGCCCTTGGTGCCCTGTCCCACACCTCCCCGCCACAGACAGACGGATATGGAACAACTCTTCATGGTAGCTCTAAAGTCCATTAATGAAACGCCACAGAGGTCCAAGGAGAAGCAATGAATATTGGCTACCAGGACTAGTGCAGAAATTGCAGGGCCCATTTAGGGGATGGGAAGTCGTCTGGAAGGTGGACCAGCAGCCGCCTTGGTGACGTGGAACAAGCAAAGCTCTCAAAGCAGACATCCCCTGTGGGGCCAAGCCCAGCTGGAGAAATCCATTTTGGCAGTGGTGTGAAGGCAGAGCCAGACGGGAAGGGACCCAGAGCTGTGACGCAGTGAAGTGCAGCTCTATCCAGGATGGATAAGGAGGCCACATAGCCCAGGAACTGGCACTGACATTGTGCCCTGAGGGCGGACTGTGCCAGGGTGGGGACCTGGTGACATGGATGTGGAGACAGGGAGGAGGCAGAAGGATCCAGAGCTTTGCACTGTGTGCTGATGGCAAGCCCATGAAGAGAAAGGACAGAGGGAGCAGGAGGGTCAGGAGACAGTAAAATGGATTCTGTTTTGACATGGGTTGTTAGTGATAACCAATCATCAAGGTGAGAATGTCCAGTAGATTTTGGAAGGAGGCTCTGACAATTTGGAGATGCATCAAGACTACCATTTAGCTCCAGGGAATCAAAGATGTTGATGTGACAATTGGAGAAATAAGATCAGATGAAACAGCCAAAGGAGACAGCCTAGAAGATGAAGATGGCACAGAGAGAACATGAAAAAAAAAAAAAGAGAGAGAGAGAAAGAGGAGTCACACATGTGGTTCACTGACAACTAAACAAAATGTCTGAGATTACAAATCATCCTGCCAAATACTGCAAGAGTCACACACAATTTGATGCTGCTCACAGCCTTGAGAAAGGAGCTGGAGTGAGGAACACAGCCAGGCATAGACAACACTCTGAACTGGAGAGGCAAAGAATGAAAAGACTTCAAGTGAGCTGGAGGACACAGCGGATGAAGGGAAAGAGTCTGGGCATACTAAAATCATGTTTATTGAGACAGAGAGGAAAGACTTCAGAATGTTATGATATTGCTAAACTTTCCTCTTAAAATTGCTTTTGCTGCATCTCATATGTTTCGGTACGCATGATGTTTCCATTTTTGTTTATCTCAAGATATTCATTAATTTCTCTTTTCTGCACATTGTTTAACTTTTTTATCTATTTATGAATTTTCTGAACTTCCTCATGTTAATTTCTAGTTTCATATCATTGTGGTCAGAAAAGATACTTGATATGATTTCAATCTTCTTAAATTTGCTAAGATTTGTCTTTTGGCCTAACAAATGATCTACCCTGAGGAATGTTCCACGTGTGCTTGAGAAGACTGTGTATCCTTTAGCTGTTTTTGGCAATGTTCTGTATTTATTAGGTCCATTTGGTCTAAATTGTTGTTCAAGTCCAATGTTTTCTTATTAATTTTCTGTCTGTATGATCTTTCCATTATTGAAAGTGGTATATTAAAGTGCCCTATGATTGCTGCATCATAGCCTATCTCTACCTTTAGATCCTTTTCACATTTACTTTATATATTTAGGTGCTCCATTGTTGGGCGCACATATATTTATCATTGTTACATATTCTTGATGAATTAACCCCTTTATCATTATATAATGTCCTTCTTCATTTCTTTTTACAGCTTTTGACTTTAAGTCTATTTTGTCTCATGTAACTACTCTTCCTCTCTTTTGACTTCCATTTGCATGGAATATCTTTTTCCATCACTCTCAGGCTGTGTGTCCTTCAAAATGAAGTGAACCTCTTGTGGGCAGCATATAGTTGGGTCTTATCTTTTTATACACATATTCACTCTATGTGTTTTGATTAGAAACAAATTAGATATAGAATGAATGTACCTCAATACAACAAAGGCCATATATGACAAACCCACAACAAACATCATACTCTCAATGTAGAAAAGTTGAAAGCTTTTTCTCTGACACCCAAAACAAGACAAAAATGCCCACTCTTACCACTTCTATTCGATATAGTACTAGAAGTCCTATGCTGGGCAATTGGACAGCAGAAAAAAATGAAAAACATACAAATTGGAAAGAAGTTAAATTGTTCCTGTTTGCAGATGACACCATATTATATATAGAAAACCCTACAAACTCCACCAAAAACTGTTAAAACCAATAAACAAATGTGGTAAAATGGCAGGATATAAAATCAACATGCCAAAGTCATTAGTGTTTCTCTACACTAACAATAAACTTTCTAAAAAAGAAATCAAGAGAACAATCCCATTAACAATGGCAACAAAAAATAAAAATAAAATACTTAGGCATAAATTTAACCAAGGAGGTAAAAGAACCATAACTAAAAACTAGAAAACTTTAATGAAAGACAACTGAAGATACAAATAAATAGAAGGATGTTCTGTGTTCATGGATTGAAATAATATTTTTAATTGTCCATCATACCCAAAGGGATGTGCAGATTCAGTACAAGCACTATTAAAACACCAATGTCATTCCTTGTAGATACAGAAAAAACAATTCTAAAACTCATATGGAACCACAAAAAACCTCAAATATATAAGAAAATCATGAGCAAAAGTAGCAAAGCTAGAGGAATCACATTGCCTGATTTCAATCTATACTACAAAGTGGCAGTAATTACAAAAGCATCACACAGGCATAAAAATATGCACATCAACGAATGGAACAGAACAGAGAGCCCAGAAACGAACCCACACATGCACAGCTTGATCTTCAATAAAGGCGCTGAGAATACACACGGGAAAAGCACAGTCTCTTTAATAATAATCAAAGATTTACACATCAGAACTGAAACTGCAAAACTACTAGAGGAAAACTTAGGGGGAAAAGACTACATAATATTGGTCTGGGTGATGCTGGTTGATTTAATTCCAAAAGCGCAGGTAACAAAAGCATAGACAGAGAAATAAGACTGTATCCAAATAGAAGGCTTCTGCCCAACAAAGAATCAATGAGGTAAAGAAATAGCCTACAGGTTAGGAGAAAATATTTGCAAGCCATACATCTGATAAGGGATTAATATCCAAAATATGTAAGAACTCAAACAACTCTATAGAAAGAAAAGAAATTATCCAATTAAGAAATGGGCAAGGTACCTGAACACACATTTCTCAAAAGAAGGCACTTGAATGGCCAACAGGCACATGTAGGAAAGCTCAGCATCACTAATCACAGGGAGATGCCAGTCAATATCAAATCACGTATCAGCTCACACTTGTTCGAATGGCTATTATCCAAAAGACAAAAGATACCAAGAGTTTTTGATGTGGAGAAATGGGAACCCTGTTCGCTGTTAGTGGGAATGTAAATTAGCACAGTCACTCTGGAGAACAGTACGAAGGTGTCTCAGGAATTAAAAAGAGAATGATCCAGCAGTCCCACTTCTGGGTGTTTACTCAGAAACAGATCTGAAATCAGCATGTGGAGATGCCTGCACTCCCATGGTCACTGAAGCTCCATTCACAATGTCCAAGACATGGAATCAACCTGTGTCCATCAAGGGAGCAACGAATAAAGGAAGTGTGGTGTACGCACACAATGGAACAATATTCAGCCTCAAAAGAAGGAAAGAATGTCTGTCATTTCTGAAAACATGCATGGAATGGGAGGATATCACGCTAACTGAAAGAAGCCAGGCACAGAAAGACAAATACTGAATGTTCTCACTTAAACGTGGAGCCTAAAACTACTGAAAGCACAGAAGCAGTGAGGAGAAGGGTGGTCACCCGAGGCTGGGGGATGTGGGGAGGGAGAAATGGTGCCCAGAGGGTACAAAGCCTCGGACAGGAGGGCAAGTCTGTCTCTAGATCAATAGCACGGCATGCTGAGTACAGCTAATTATTGAGTATTTTACATTTAAATATTGCCAAGAGTAAATTTCTAATGTTCTCATCACAAAAAATGTTAAATATGTGAGGTAATGGATATGTTAATTAGCTTAATTGTTCTATGCTGGATTCATAAATCATAGCACCAGTTTATGTCCCATAAAGTATGCAACTATAATTTATCAATATAACATGATAAATACATAATGAATACATTTTAAAAAACACAAGGACTGAGCACTGCTTCTTGGTAGTTTGACAGACTAGACCTTTTGAAGAATCTTAACTTCACTATAAAAGACTTACTGATATTAAACAAAATAAATTTAAATGCTTTAAAATATATAATTGAGTTAAGAGTACATACAAATAATAAAATGTGACCAAACAATGAGATAAAATAAAAGTTTGTGTGTTAATCACACAGGGACATATGCCTATCAGGAGCTTACAATCACAGGGTCCTATCTTATTTTGAGGCACAATTTATATAAAATAAAATGCACCAATTTTTTAAAAAGTTATGATTTTGCATTTTGCTAGGAACACGAACACAGTTCTTTATTAGCCACTTAGACACATGAGTCACTTTCTATATTAAGAAAAAATTCATTGTGGTGCAAAATAAGACTCTTTTTTCATTAAGGTACATTCATAGTTTTGATATCTAACTTATATAACTCGTTGTAATTGCTGAATCGTGTACTGGCGCTTGCACATGAAATTAATGCTTTCAAATGATCTACTTTGGAACCGTGTGCCATAACAAAAGACTCATAAATGCCACCTAATTGCCCCAGCTCAGCCAACCATTAATATCTGATTTTCTCAACATTTCACTACATCAGTTAGCATAATTATGAGGGAAAAGGTTGTTACTAAATTCATACTTAAAATATTTATAAATGTATACTGTGTGGAATGAATAAGCTCAGCTCAAAATGCTCAAGAGCATAAATTTGGGCACTAAAAGGTCAACACAAACTCGAACGTCATAAAAGTTAAAATGACTTCAAACCCCCCGTAAGATCTGGTTACTTCCTAAAATCAAGAAAGGAAGATTTAGAAACAGAGAATGGCTACTCTTCTCCCCTGCCTCTCCGAAAGGCTGGGGCTCTGCCTTCAGCCCGTGAAGAATTAAAAAGCAAAGCTCATGTCCCACGCTTGGCCTTGGTCACTAGGAACCGGGGCTGTGAGACGATGCCCTGCCCTTGCTGGAGAGCTGACATTTGTGTTACGCGATGCCCCTGTAGAGGATCCACGTGAAAAATTCCTTTCAAAATTTACGATATTCCTCTCCAAAACTGGCCTCTGTTGAAGAAAAAATACTCCTCTCTCACACACAGATAACTGTGTAACTGATCACGTCTCTTGTTGGCTTGACTGACAGCAAACTCAGCATGGACTCTTATAACTAAGTAATTAACTGTGGTCCATATATATCTTCTTCCTTTTTAATAAAGTTTGACACGTATTTTAACATTTCAACATACTATAATTTCATAACAGATCCCTTCTAAAAAGAAGTTTTGTAAACTATTCCCCCAAAAGTTGAATAAAACTAGGAAATAATACCTTAATTTTCCCATCCTCATTTTAAATGGTTTCGGAAATAGCCTATCTTGAATTCTACTTTCCCAAACCAAATTAGTCACCACTGATTCTCTCCACAAAGTAGTGTTTTGTTCCTACCAGGTTTTTCAATCTAGATAAAATTTTTAACAAAGAAAAGAGTGCACACCCTCTTCCTGTGTGATGAATACCTCTGATCTCCCAGCAGTCCTCAAATAAGCCCTTCTCATCTTTCTCCAGGAGGAGCCCTGGATGGAGGCAGATGATTGACACAGCGTGGAGCCACCACCATGCCCAGCCCTGCTCACACCAAATGTGGGTTCTTTGACATGTGTGTTCCGAGGCGTGTGCCTCTCCTTCTGAGTTTAATTGTGCATGAGTTTGCTATCAGTTTCCTCTGAGAGCCACGGCACCCCCAATGTGGACAGAAGATTTTCTCCATTAGTATCCCGTGTTGGCTGCCCCCACCCTTAGCTAGATCCAGACAATATTTTGAAAAGGTGATTTTTTTAAAAATAAAGAAAACGTAGAAATGGGAAGACTCAACGGGGTAAAATAAGAGAGATAAAAAATCAATGTGTAAAAGATTTTTCCTGTTTTTGCAAAAATTTCTTGAAAACAATTTTCAAATTACAAACACAACACACTGGGGGATGGTTTTCCACCTGCCACTCGAGTTCTAGATCGACAAGAGATGGATCCAGACAGACAGAGATGTTCTTTAGGTAACAGGAAGGTGTCTATGTAAACTGCACACAGCCTCAAAACAGAGGAAGATATTACATGTAGGGCAGACATCACACGACTCGCCACTGCCAGGTGCATTTCTTCCTGCACAGAGGGGGCTCTGCCATTTTCAGAACAGGGAAAAGACAGTTTCGCTGTCTTCTTTTCTTGGAGATCTCCCCTTCTGATTTAATCTAGAACTTAGGGGGCATTTTCCTGGCATCCTGATTGGGGAGTAAGTGGCCAGGGGTAGGAGCAGCCGCAGCGTCGGCATCCACTCGCTGCTGGAGATGGAATATGCCTGCTTGACATTCTTTTCTTCTTTGTCGCTGTGGGTGAAATTAAGTTCAGAACATGTGAGAGTGTTTTAAATTCTCAAAGTTCCTAGTATCCTGGGTGAACTTTGGGTGCCCTGCCTATAGGAAAGACTCAATAAATCATGAAAGAACAGAATGGAATTAATAAGAAAAGGAACACAATCTTGAATATTTTTTCTCAAAACTAGCCAGGCGTGGGGGTCACGCCTGTAATCCATGCACTTTGGGAGGCCAAGGCAGGAGGATCACTTGAGGACAGGGTTTCAAGACCAGCCTGGCCAACATGGAGAAACCTGTCTCTACTGCAAGTACAAAATTTAGCTGGGCGTGGTGACGGGGGCCTGTAATCCCAGCTACTAGGGAGGCTGAGGCAGGAGAATCGCTTGAACCTGGGAGGTGAAGGTTGCAGTGAGCCAAGGCTGCGCCACTGCACTCCAACCTGGGCGACAGAGCAAGATTCCATCTCAAAAAAACTTTCTCTTAAAACCTTTCTTATGTATCTTATTATTAACCAGAAATTTAGCAACACAAATAGTAATAGCTAAGAATGAATTTTTATTGAGTTTTTACTAAGTGCAGGAACCTGTAAGTAGTTCCTATAGATTAACACTTTTAATACTGCCTTTAACCCGGTGAGATATGTGTTATTGTTATTATTAATATCATTATTATTTCAGAAACGAGAAAACAGTAAGAAAGGTGGCACGTTCAGCATTATTTCAATTGTAAAAAATGATGGAACAAATTAACACAAATTTAATAAGGTTTTATAATCATCACCTCAATAAAATCTTATTTTAAATTTAATATACCAAACACAATATATGTGTATGCTAATGAGGTAATATGCATATAATTTTGTATTGTTAAACTATCAAGATATCGATGGCTTCTCCATTTTCAAAAATATTTTAGTGCTAGATATGTAGAATTCCAGGCAATATATTCCTTTAAACCAATATTTAATACAGTAAATGTCCAGTATGAGAAAGTAGCCTGGACAACTCCTCAGAGCGCTGAGTGAGTGGATCTGACCTAGTATAATTTCAACACTTAAGGATTTAAATATATTAGTGCACAGGACTCACAACTGGAACAGAGACAGCCACTAGGATCCAGATGCATGAGCTGAACAAGCACCTGTTCAACAGCCCTTTACCGAGTAACTACTGCGTTCAGCACGAAGGACAGAGCGCAGGGCCCAGGTCCCTGTTCCGCCTGATGAGTCCCTTACTCAAAACTAGGAGCTCTGTGTCCCTGCAGCTTTCCCACCCCACTTCAGACGTGCGAGCACAGAGGCCAGGTCCCTATTCCGCCTGATGAGTCCCTTACACAAAACTAGGAGCTCTGCATCCCTGCAGCTTTCCCGCCCCACTTCAGACGTGTGAGCACAGAGTGCACAGGCTGATGGCGATTTTCTAAGTGTGAGGAGCATCCCTTCGTAACGCACACCTCTGTGAGGGCACTAAAGAGACGGCAGCTGCAGGAGCATTAACAAGGCACTTGAGGAAAGGCCGGCCCCCCGGAGGAGAGCACAGCAGCACGCGGGCGGCGGGGCGGGGGTGGCGCCCGCATCACACCCTGGAGACTCTACCAAGTGCCTGCTGAGTGCCTGACAGCAAGCTCAGTGTTTTGTGGAAAATAAAAATGCAAGTAGTTCTAATGTGGAGCTCCGCACCTGCTCAGTGGCCACTGCAACCCCCCAGCGAACCTGCAGCACGGCCACATGGCTGGGAGGCTGGGGAAGCAGGCCCGTGCCAGGCCCCCCATCATACGCTTGAGGACAAAACCCATGCCCTTAACCCACTCCTCTTTCAGAAGCCTCCACTTCCTCATCTCTAGAAGCAGAATAACAACAGTCACCAGGACCCACGTTAGAGAGGAGTGCATTCCAGCACTGTTACACTGCCACTTAACCAGCCTGTGCCCTCACAGGGCCGTGCGGCCCCAGCTGCCTGCCACGTCCAATCAAAAGCTGCTCTCCTGTGAAATCCTCACTGACGTTTCAGACCCAAATTGAGCTAATTTTCTCTCCTCTGCCCCATTGCTCTGGGCTCATCTTGCAGACACTTCTCATCGGCCTTGGATTGCTGCTATTTATGTCCATGCCTGTCCTCCCAACTGGATTATAACCTCGTCCAATCTATGAATCATATTTTAATTGTCTCTGTGTCTCCAGCACCTCGGAGAGTTCCTATTCATCGTTCACAGTCCATAAATGTTCCTAAGATAAACACATGACCATTAGAACTTATTCCTTTGTTGGGGAGCATAGCTGTATGACGAAACCACAAAACATAGAATAAGGGAGCTTATAGGGCCACATGAGCTCTTAAGATACCATCTGTTTCTCAGTAAGCAACCAATAAAGGCTGCTAATCTGACTTTAATTTTTTTTGAAAAATAGTTTAAACAAAATAATGCAGAAGAACTTAAGGCACTAATACATTTTAAAACAGCACACACACTCCTATTAAAATAGACTGAGACAAGGCATAGACTGAGAGAAAATATTTGTAAAACACAAATCTTATAAAAGGTGGATATTCAAAATATATGAATAACTCTTAAAACCCAACAATAAGAAAAACAATCCAATTAAAAAATACACAAAGATCTGAAGAGACACCTCACCAAGGAACATATGTAGAGGGCAACAAACATCTGAAAAGACACTCCACACCACTTCTCACCAAAGAAATGCAAAATAAATCAAGAAGACACCATCACACACCTGCTCAGATGACCACAAGCTAGACCCTGACAGCATGAAACGCTGGTGAGGACATGGAGCAACAGGAACTCTCCTCCCTGCTGGTGGGAGTACAAAATGGTGCAGCCAAATTGGAGAACCATTTGGCAGTTTCTTATAAAACTAAACATACTTCTACTAGACAATCCAGTAACTGTACTCCTTGCTATTTACCTGGATGAGTTGAAAACATCTCCATACAAAAACCTGCACACAAGTGTTTACAGTAGCTTTATTTCTAGCTGACAAAACTTGGAAGCAACTGCGATGTCCTTCATTAGGTGAATGAATAAACTATGGTACATTCAGACAATGGAATGTTATTCAGGGCTAAAAAGAAATGAGTTATAATGCCACAAAAAGACAAGGAAGAAAATTAAATGCATATCACTAAGTGAAAAAAGCCCATCTGAAAAGGTTACATACTGTCTATTTCCAACTCTATGACATTCTGGAAAAGAAAAAACTATGAAGACAGTAAAAGATCAGTGTTTGCTAGGGGTTAGAGGAGAGGGAGGGAGGAACAGGCAGAGAACAGAGGGTTTTTAGGGCAGCAAAACTCCTCTGTGTGATGCTGCCAGGGTGGGCATACGCCATTCCACATGTGCCAAAAATCCCCAGAATGTGCAACACCAAGGCTGGATGTGATATAAGCTGTGGGCTTCCATCAATAATCATGGATCAATACTGGTTCCTCAACGGTAACCAATGTGCCACCTCATGTGAGACGCTAACAGCAGAGAAATGGAATACAGGCAAAAAGAGTAGGTGGGAACTCTGTAATTTCAGCTCAATGCTTCTGTGAACCTAAACCTGCTCTTAAAAATAAATTCTATTAATTTAAAAAACAGTGCAAGCCACTGTTCTTTCCATTGTTAATAATGTTCTAGATGAATAAATGTTCTAAACCAGGAGAGCGTCTCTGGAGGGCCAGCGTGTTGAGGGAGCTGGAAGGGAAGGGACTCACCATCCCTCCCATCTCGAAATTTAGGAAAACCAGGGACAGAAGGTAACCCTCACCGGGTCCCGGTGGGATTTAAGTTCCTCTGTGCTTGACCTGGAAGCAAGTATTTATATTGTAGAGCTGGCAACAGCCACAGAGGACATGGCGTGGATGACACCCCTGGAGTTATGCACTAGACAGTGGTGTGGAGAGAATCAGGGCTGTGCGGCGGCCGCTGGAGAACTCGTGCACGCACACGGGCGTGTGCTGAGACAGCTGTGAGCTCCGCTGTGTCACCCAGAAGAGCTATGAAAAAGGACACAGGAAGCTAGCATCTTCTTGTGGAAAAGGGGAGTTTGATAAACTATGCCAAGATTTTTCAGTAACCACTGCGTGGGCTAATCTCTCTACAGAAACAATGGAGCAAAACACATAGCTCAAGGGCTTCTTAAGAACATTCTTAGTATAAAACTTAGAGATGTTATTTTGGCAGATTTCCCAGCAAATGTTGTATGGCCATTGGTGGTTTAAACAATCCCGAGCATACACCATCTCACCTTCTTGTTAGCACACCAGTTGATATTATGAAGTACCTCTGGTAGACAGTGGAGCCCAGAATGGAATTGGGGTCCAGTGATGTTCACCTAAAAGTCCAACATCTCAGTGGCAGCAAGAATAGGAAAGTGACTCACTTTAGAAGCTGAGGCCCTGACATCACCACCGCCCCTCTGCTCCTGAGAACCACGGATATGATGGGACTGCCGTGTGACGAGCTGAGTGTTTACTAACAGGTGTGGGTAGAACTGTGCCCTGCAGGGGCATGTGCTGAAGCCCTAGCCCAGGACCTCCCAACATGGTTGCGTTTAGAAACAGGGGCTGCTACAGAGGTGACGAGGTAAGGTGAGGTCATGCTGGAGTGGAGGATCCTGCCCCCACATGACTGGTGTCCTCATCAGAAGCAGAAACCGGAGGACAGACACACATGGAGAACACTGCATGAAGGTGAAGGCTGGGATCGGGACTATCAGGCCACGGAACCCCAAACATTGACAGCAAATCAGGAGTGTGGGGGAGCCCGGGACAGACTCCTCCACCCTCTTGGTCTTGGGGGGGCCCGGGACAGACTCCTCCTCCACCCTCTTGGTCTTGGGGGGGCCCGGGACAGACTCCTCCTCCCCCTCTTGGTCTTGGGGGGCCCGGGACAGACTCCTCCTCCTCCTCTTGGTCTTGGGGGGGGCCGGGACAGACTCCTCCTCCCCCTCTTGGTATTGGGGGGGCCCAGGACAGACTCCTCCTCCCCCTCTTGGTCTTGGGGGGGGGCCTGGGACAGACTCCTCCTCCACCTTCTTGGTCTTGAACTTCGAGCCTCCAGATCCATGAAGAAGGGGATCTCTGGTGTGAGGCCCTGTGTTATGGCAGCCCAGGACACTAACACACTAAGGGGAATGGCCTTTAACGATGAGGAAGACGATGCTTCATTCCTAAAACTCTGCCAACTGCTGGGAAGGAGACGTACAGACCGCAAAGTTTCTAACGTCATTCACAAGTGAAAACGGAAGGCGGCTCAAGAGAGGGGCTGAGCCGTGGCCCTGGCCGGAGCATCACAGCCCAGAGGCCATCTTCCGAGACCAACCCAGGTGTGGGCCATGAGCGGCAGATCTGCCTCCTGTTCCACAAGAACTTCGAAAGCATCCTGCCCTCTAACCCATCCGACTTTCCGCAAAATACCGTACGTCTCCTGCATGGAAACTGAGGCTCGGAGACGGGGAGCTGCGACTCACTGCCACGTAGTGAGCTGGGACTTGCAGCTCAGTGTCTGTGTCAGTGCCGTGTGAGCTGCGGACAGCCGGCGGGGGCTCATGCCATTCCCAACCACCAGCACGCGGTATAGGCTCATTCCTTCACAGGCAGGAAGGCGGGTGGCACAGGGGTGAGGGGAGAGGCGGAGAACGTCAGGTTCACCTTCATGGGACAGGCAAGCTTGTGCTGCCTGGAGCAGGCCCAGCCAGCCTGTGCTTTTAAATCACTTGTGGATTTTCTAGATAACGTTGTTGTGAAAAAATCCTCCTACCTTTTGCTAGTAGTATGAATTCCTCTTTCTCTTTGAGAGACACACCTCAAATGCATCTTCCAATTGCTCTCTCTGGAAAAACCCCATAGAATAACTATTAAGAACTCAGGCCCAGACCATCCTGTGATTTTTCGGGTCTTTTTTCTTTTTTTTTGTTTTTATTTTTTTTGAGATGAGGTCTCCCTCCGTTGCCCAGGCTGGTCTTGAACTCCTGGGCTCCAGCAATCCTCCTACCTTGGCCTCCCAAGGTGCTGGGATTACAGGCCTGAGTTGGGACACCCGGCCTCTGAGCTATCTTTACAAAGAACCATCTGCTCATCACTCAGCCCTGACATACAACATGCCCTGGGGTCAGATGCAACCTTGCTCTCACTGACGGGCCCTCCTGCTTCCACAAAGGACCTGAAGGAGAAGGGAGAGTTCAAGTGGTCATCAAGGACGTCACATACAAAGACCTCAACCAGTGCGCAGTATGTCTAACTTGTCCTCAGATTTCACTTGTGTGCAGAGCTTTTGGTACTTAAGCAAACTTCTGTCCCATCTCCCCTGCAGGGGATGAAAATGCCATCACAGAAGAGGACAGTAGAGGGAAAAATGTGACTGGAACACAGGCACCCCAGAGACCCACAGAAACAAGCCCATTGCAGGAGACAAAGGGGCTCTGGGAGCCTGACCAGCCGCTTCCAGAACACCCAGCCGCGGTTCTCCTCCTGCGGATTCCAGCACCCCACAATGCACGCCTCAATCCGCATCGCCTGCTCTCCTAGGGATCCTTCAGCTCAACTTTTCCTTCCCTCACGCTCCTCAACAAGAGGGTCCTAACTCGAAAAGGCAGCCGGAGTGGTCATCTGGGCAGAACCTCCCCTAGAGCTTTGCAGCAACTCCCACTCATCCGAAAAGGAGGGGCTGTTTGTCTCAGCCCCAAGTGGTGAACTCCATTGAGTCTGAGGACATCGCCAGAGGGCTCACCTGGCACAGCAGGTGTGTGCAGTGGGCACCGTGGTCCCCACCCCCCGCTGCACTGTTGTGAGATGTAGTCGCCATCCCCCACTCCACCCCTGGCTGCACTGTTTGTTGGTGAGACATGGTCACCACTCCCTGCTGCACTGTTTGTTGGTGAGATGTGCTGCACCCCTGCCAACTGCAAGGTGACCAAGGAGAGTTTCACTGGGTTGACCCCATGCAGGACCCTGCTGGTGATGACCCAGTGACCTCTTGGAGGCTGCGGATCCCTTTGTTGGGCAGTACTGAATTTTCTTGGACCTGCATCAAGTCTATATAATCTTAAACGATACACCAGATGACTTCTAAAAAATCACCCACGCCTTGACGACCTGGTCACTGGAAAGACGAGGAGTGGGAAATGCTCTCTTCCTTTCCCCAAAGTTTAATACCGAGGTCCATTTTCCACCTAATTCACAAGCGGATCAAACGCCTCATCTTCACCTTGCAAGTCTGTTACTGATCTAGGCTTGCTCTTGGTAAGAAGCAAAAAGAGGGGAGTGGAGAAGCCCCTGAGCCAGGGCAGCCTCGGCTGTGAAGGTGGGAGCTCTCTCTGTCCCCGGCATTCACTCACTTCCCTCTGTCCCACATGAAAGGGTTTCTGTATTCTGATGTTAGCTGGACACACTGTAGGCAGAGACTGAGCATGATGTGAACTGAAAGGCTGAAGAGAAATTCTGTGCTGCAAACCCTTCTGTGACAGTGAATCCTGAATATGTACCTGGGTGAGTTCAGCCTCAGTCTGCTGCAAACCCTTCTGTGACAGTGAATCCTGAATATGTACCTGGGTGAGTTCAGCCTCAGTCTGCTGCAAACCCTTCTGTTACAGTGAATCCTGAATATGTACCTGGGTGAGTTCAGCTTCAGTCTGCTGCAAACCCTTCTGTTACAGTGACTCCTGAATATGTACCTGGGTGAGTTCAGCCTCAGTCTGCTGCAAACCCTTCTGTGACAGTGAATCCTGAATATGTACCTGGGTGAGTTCAGCCTCAGTCTGCTGCAAACCCTTCTGTGACAGTGAATCCTGAATATGTACCTGGGTGAGTTCAGCTTCAGTCTGCTGCAAACCCTTCTGTTACAGTGACTCCTGAATATGTACCTGGGTGAGTTCAGCCTCACTCTGCTGCAAACCCTTCTGTTACAGTGAATCCTGAATACGCAGCCGGGTGAGTTCAGTCTCAGTCTGAAGGTAAATGTACAAAAAACATCAGAACTTACTCCCCTGGACTCTGCCACAGAATAGCAGAAGATAAAAATATCCACGTGTGAAAAGATAAAGCGTTTGGGAAGGAACGGCAGTTCTCAGGATTACTAACTTTCTGCATGGGAGCCGTGCATGGGAAATGTTTGTGGAAAGCACTGGCCAAATTCAAGTTCCAGGCCATCTACAAAATGCACACACAGCTCCTCTGTGCAGGGCTTTGCATCCCCTTCCACATGTCTGTGCCACGTTCCACCATTTCACTCAAGGAACTATGACACAGTGCTTCTAAGAAAACAAAAACCATCTTTGGAAAAGTAAGAGAACGCATGCTATTTATCCTGAATCAACCGTTTTGTTCTTTTAAATTCTGAGCTCAGGAGCAAGTATATTTTTTCTGAGTTACATATCCATGTCTGTATTTCCAAGGCTAATACAAAAATAGTTCTATCATAGAACCCCATGATCATTAAAAAAAATTTCAGAGTGACTATTTCTTAACGTATTAACTACAAAACTTTATAGCTCCCTGTAATTTAGTAAAACAAATGATTTGGCTATTTGTTTTATACCCAGTTTTTTTACAATTTTATTCTTTAGAGCTGATTTTGGAAGAATATATAAATTGATATGTTCCAATAGCAGAAGAGAAAGATGATCTCAAATGTTTTGCTGGTGTCATTTCTATTGAATAAATGATTTTAGAAGGTGGAAGACAGACCTGGAAGCCAGATCGTGCCTCAACTCAAAATAACAGCTACGAGACTGACTTCAACAGTGGGCTTTTATTCTCTTGGGTAAAGCACGGTGCTATAATGATTGTGACAACATAAGATCAGAGGTACAAATGAGAGGTACAAATGGGGAGTGATAATTAGTCGGATACAGCTAAAAATCCTAATGTGTCACATAGGAACTCCCTAATTAAATTAATACAGTAACAGCAGATTCCGTCTCAGCCAGCAGGGAGAAATCCCAGAGGCACAGGGTCCCCGGGCACACTCAGCCTCCCCGAAACCTTCCCGGCAGTGGAGCCCCACAACGGCCTCTTCTTCCACCCCAGGTACGTGCCTAACAAACGCTGGCTAAACAGAAAGTGTCATTCTCCACCCTAAACAGAACCTGCCAGTGTAAGCACTGTGTGCAGCTGATGTATTTTTAATAAGAAGCACATCTTCTCCAGGAGAGCATGATGGTGAACAGACTTGCTTGATCTGTTTTGAAAGGATAGCAAGGTCAAACCCACCAGCACCTTCACTGAACACACACCCAATGCTCTCGGGAACAGCCACAAGCCAGGCCGCACCTCCCTGCCAGGTGCCTGCACTACCGCGGGGAGAAACGCTGCGGTGAAATCAAACACGCGTCGAGTTCTCCAAGATAACGTGAATGAGGACTCTGCATTTCAAGTCTCCAAGAACATTCTTACATTGGAGGACACCCAGTAAAGATTTCTACAAATCAAACTCATCAAATTTTCATTGGATGACCACATGTGAGAACCAAGATTTATGAATTATATGGATGAAGAATTAATGAATAGGAAGCTTTTTTCTTTCCAAAATGTTATTACAATGTCTACCATCCCCGATGGAAGTGGAAAGCTGGAGAGAGTGCCCTGCATCTGAACACCATCAATCAGGAGGCTCCCGGTCCCCTCACAGTCCCTGGGGGAATGTCTCTCGATGTCACCAACTTTTCTGTAACTGCATCAAACCCGCACCCCCTCCACTGTGTGCCTTGACGGTGGTTGGTGGCACAACTAACTCTAAGCACGACTTCATGGCAGGACGGAGCCAAAGATCATCCACTCCCTGATCCGAGTGGTGTCTGCAGCCATTTCTGCCTTCAAGGCCCAGGCAGCGCTGGCCGGCCAATGTCCAGCACACTGACGAGAAACCACGTACAGCCAGCACGGCACCCAAACCACCCACTTAACCAGACTGACACGAGTTCCCTAAACTCACAGGCCAGGGAGCCTCCTGCAGCTTGCAGGGCCAGGTCAGAAGGACATGTCACTTTTTAAATGTTTGACTAAATAACTGGGTGATTAAGTATATTTCTTTTATTGACACACACACATATTCACTTCACTGACATTTATCTATACACACACATATTAGGAAAATAAATCAAAATTGCACACATCCTTGGAGCCAGTATTCCACTGTTATCCTAACAAGTTGTACAATATTCACAAATCCTTAAAAAAATAAGGCTTAAAAATCGGTATCACTAAATGAACCAGGTGGAAAATGGATATGGAAAAAATTAGACACAGAAAATAGAAAATGGAAAGAATCAGGCTAGCGCTGTTTTGTGAAAGGCACATCATAAGAAGGGAAATCTGGATCCTGTCTGGCACCGGGACGCCCAGGAGCAAGTGTTCTCCTGACTGGTAGCTGAGGACAGCTGCCCCAGCCTAGGCTAGCACAGCCCCACCCAGGAGAGACTGCACATCATCCAGGGTGGTGCTGGAGGAGGGAGGGGAGTCATCCAGGAAGCCACCCTTGAAAGTCAAGCACCGTGGAGGCGGCCGAAGTGGTTATTTCAGGCATTGTGGAAAGTGGTGGTTATTCCTCTCACCCACAAGAAAAAGGTGACAAGTGTAGTCTAACTTAATGCTGGGTTACTCTAGAAGTACAGTTTTTATCATCACACAAAAGCTAAAACTGGAAAGCACCACTCACCATCCTCTCCTCCCCAGCTTCCGCTCGGCAGCTGGGCTGCAGTCAGCTGCAAATCCGTGGGAGGAGCAGCCAGTGGGAGGAGGCCAGGAGAGAGAGGCCCGGGTCGCCCCCGAAACACAGGACCCTCATTCTGCTCAGTGAGGTGCCGGCGCTGAATCTCATCCACAGCACACTGTTTGCTAAAATGCCCCTTCTGATTTGGAAAAGCAGCCATCGGAACACAGGCTGAGTCTTCCAGGGGCTTCCCCTCTGCCTCCTGATCCTGGAGCCAACGGTGCTCAGTGCTTGTCGGCAATTGTGGGGTCTGGAGAGTGAGGGCGAGGGGCGAGTGGGAACAACCACAGCCCAGCTCAGAATACGCAGACGGCCTCTCTACACGGAAAAGCCAGCGCGTCCTTCTTCCTGTGCACAATCATTCATTCATTCCAAATACTAGCTGAGGGAAAACAGTTTTGAAGGCTAACTTTCCCCATGGTCTTTTCTGTAAGGAGGGAGTGAGTGTTTGTGTCTGTATGTGTGTCTGAACAGACACACTCACACTTTTCACATACGCGTATGTATGTGAAAGCTGCACCTTTCAAACTGTCTTTCTGTTTGGAACATGAGTAGACATTGGACAGTGCCGAAATCGCCCCTCACCTGTGAGATATTTCAGAGCCTAAGGACACGGATTTGACTTTCACGTGTTTTCACCACACATTTTGGGGTTGTATGTTGATGTTATAAATGGCAGAAGCAAGAGCATTTCTAAAACTGTTTGTGAAATCCACACACCTCCCTCAGGAACCACGAGATTTATTGGGCCATGGCAGGACGAGCCCATGTCAGCCGCTGCTCACCAGGCACCCGGGACACAGGGCCTCTTCTCTGCCTAAGTCCCTGCTGTGGCTTCTCGCAGCTGCCCTGAACCCACGCCATGAAAAAAGATCTCCTTCTCCCATTTAAGACAACACAGAACTCAGGAAAGGAGGCAAGAAAGGACTCGCCGAGTCTACAAATCAGCTGAAGTCAAAGAGCAGAGAGCAAAGAGGTGCACAAGATGCCCCAAAACCTTCTCAGGTTTTCCTCAAGTACAGGTTTTCAGGAAGTAGCGTAGTGATTTGGAGAAAAGAATGTTTGAATATGCACAGTGCCAGAAACACATACTTTTAAGTCCAAGAACAAAACATTTCCAAAGCTAAATGTGTGTTTAATGTACTCTGATCTAAAATCCCTTCCCTCTGTCCTCTGACGCAGCTTTGGGGAGGGGGTTCAGCCTGGCAAAAGGAGGACGGGAGGGGAAACTGAGGCCTCTCTAGCTTGGCTTCTGGCCTCTTCCGCAGACGTGAGGCAGCCACAGGCCCTCACAGCATCCTCCTCCACAAGACACGCATTGTGGCTGCACCTCATCTTGTTGTGGAATCCAAACATGATGTTGAATTCCAAGCCCTCAGGCCAGCACTCAGCATTTGGCGAGCACAAATAACTTTTATCGTAGGTACAGCATTATAATATCATATTAAGTATGGTGCTTATAGGAGTATATATTATACTCTAATGACGCTATTTTTAAGCAAAAGACAAGACATCTGAGGTGGGAGCCATGATAATTTCCACGGTGAAGGGACAGTAAAGCTCGGACTCTCGGATGTGCAGGTCCCACTGTTCTCCCCAGAAACCGTTATCTCAAAAAAGCAAAAATGCAAGTCCCCGGTTGCTGAGCCTTCTTTTTGTAGCATTCTAAAAATGTTACAGTTGACCTTAAGGGCTGAGAGGACAGGAGTGTGCGGAGGACCCAGGGCATGGGAGAAGCCGGCCCGTCCTCCAGTGAGACCTGGTGTCCTCGCGACCTGTCCACGGGCCGCAGGTCTGTCCGACCCGGCCTCCTCGCGACCTGTCCAGGGGCCCCAGCTCTGTCCGGCCCAGCTGGCAGCCCCCACCACCTCTCCCACTTCCCTGCCCACCAGCCCCTTCTTTTCAGTTTAAACAAGACTGCCTTAGCAAACACAATTTGGGGCCCAATTCGTTCTCCACAAATATTTGCCCAGAGTCCGTATCACTCTTCCAGCAACAAAGAATGCTGCTGCCGCGTCAGCTGCAATAAATGTGTGTCTAGTGCAGGGCAGTGCTACCCGCCAACTTCAGCCGGGGATTTTTAATGTTTGTTCTTGTTACCCAGACTGGGTTTCCATTAGGCACATTCCTGTGAGTCTTTCAAGGACTGGGTCCCACAGAGGTCAAAGGCCAGGCCAGAACCTGCCCTGAGCCCAGCCCCCGGGGCTGCCCAGGTTCACAGATTCCCTTTTTTATGCAAAAATCCTCACTCTAGAAGCATCTTCTTGATAAACAAGCTCAGGGAGAGGATGGGCTGGAGAAAAAGCCCCCACGAGGTCTCCCTGGGAACACTCACAGGAAAGCACTTGGGGAGGGGCCCATGACCCCAGGCATATCCCGGACCCACATGCGCTGAGCCCCTGCTGTGCAGCCCTTCCCTCCCTCTGTCCCACATGCGCTGAGCCCCTGCTGTGCAGCACTTCCCTCCCTCCGTCCTTGTTCCCTCATCTCCCCGCTCCTGTGCGTCCATCCTTTCCCTCCTCCTCACATAGCAGCAAAATAACAGCACAGGATGCACAGATAGAGCCACTGCTAGCCACCGGGACAGCCTTAGTCCCCACCGGGGAAGCCTCAGACCTCCCTGCACACCACTGAGCAAGGCCAAAACCCAGCACAGACAGCCTCAAGCGCCGCTGAGGACGTGGATGAACAGGAACTCTTATCCACTGTGGGGGGTGAACAACGCAGCTGCGTTGGAAGACATTTTGGTGGTTTCTTACAAAACTAAGCACATGCTTGTCATACAATCCAACAATTGCATGCCTTCATATTTACCCAGATGAGCTGGAAACTTACATCCACACGAAAGCCTGCACACAGATGTTTATGGCAGCTTCATTCATCATTCCCTAAACTCAGAAGCAACTGAGATGCCCCTCATAAGGGAACAGATAAACTATGAGCATTCAGACAGTGGAATAGCACTCACTGCTAAAAAGAAATAAGCAGCTAAGCCAGGAAAAGACACGAAGGCACCGTAAATGCACATTACAAAGTGAACGAAGCCCATTTGAAAAGGCTGTGCACTGTGGTTCCCATCAAATAAATGATGTTCTGGAAAAGGCAAAACTATAGAGATAGTCAATGGTCCTGTGTTTGCCAAGGGTTCATGAGGAGGGAGGGAGGAGTGGGCGGAGCAGAGGGGATTTTTAGGACAGAGAAACTCCTCTGTGGGCTGCTGTAATGGGGGGGTGTGTCGTCATCAAACACCTGCCCAAACCTGTGCAGTGACAATGCCAAGAGTGAGCCGAGGTGAACCACGGACTCCGGGTGAGGATGACGTGTCGTGTTGGTCCATCAGCTGCACTAAATGCACAGCTCTGGAGGGGACTGGGTCACGAGGGAGGGCGTGGGTGGGGCAGGGGCCATATGGGAACTGTCTGCACTTTCCACTTAATTTTGCTGGGTACCTAAAACTGTGCTAAAAATATTAAGTCACACACACACACACACACACACACACACACACACACACACACGTCACTCAACCACCTGAGTCTTGGTTTTCCCATCTGGAAAATGGGCATGGAAATGGTTGCCCAGGCGTGCGTGGGCCGGGCATAGCCCCGTGTGGAGGACGGCACGGCTGAGACAGTCTTCCCACACGGGCTTCCTCAGCGTGGCCCCCTCCCAGGAAGCCTCTGACCTCCCAAGTACACTCAGGAGCCTGCAGCTTCCCAGGCACCAGGTGATGCTCCTACAGGCAGGGCCCCTGCTGGGTAGGCACCACAGCGGGAACACCAACAGGTCAGAAAACCCAAAGCAAAAGCGCTAGGAGGGTAGAACCTCCTGACCAGAGCATACCCTTCAGCCTTCTCAGTCTCTCCTTGAAGAACAGGGAGGAAGCCCAGGAACTGGGGGTCAGATGGGACTTGGATCCAGGCCAGCAGCACGAGGTACAGGGCACATGGACAACGTGGCCACAGCCCTGGTCACAGAAGAATGGGAAGATCACAGAGGGGGCTGTGCGGAGAGGCTGGGTCAGAGCCACCCACCCACCTGGGATCAGACGGAACCTGAAGGAGGGAAGGAGACCAACCCCTCTCTGCAGCAAACCAAACACCACCAGTCAGAGTCGGGCATCAGGGGGGCCCAGGCAGCTTGGGCTGGGGATGCGGCAGAAGCCACTGGGCCGCCTGCTGCGACCAGGAAGCCCCTGAGGTCCGAGGCAATGGGTATCGTGGGCTCTGACGGTGACTTAAGAAGAAATTGGGACTGAGACTATACTGGGCCGCAGCTCTCCCACGTCCCATCAGGGTCTTTTTCACCATGAAGACCTGCCCTACAAGCACAGCTTTGCCATCCAGACAGCAGGGACGGAGGTGCCGCGTGTGGAGGCCAAGGACAAAGACAGGCCAGTCGTGGTGGAGCTGCCCTCCTCACTCAGACTTGACCATGGTGGGGAACTGTCCTCACTCAGACCTGCCCATGGTGGGGAACTGTCCTCACTCAGACCTGACCGTGGTGGGGAGCTGCCCTCACTCAGACCTGACCATGGTGGGGAGCTGCCCTCACTCAGACCTGACCGTGGTAGGGAACTGCCCTCACTCAGACCTGACCGTGGTGGGGAACTGTCCTCACTCAGACCTGACCGTGGTGGGGCTCTGTCCTCATGTCCTCACCCAGACCTGCCCAAGGTGGGGAGCTGCCCTCACTCAGACCTGACCGTGGTGGGGAACTGTCCTCACTCAGACCTGATCCTGGTGGGGAACTGTCCTCACTCAGACCTGACCGTGGTGAGGAGCTGCCCTCGCTCAGACCTGCCCATGGTGGGGAGCTGTCCTCGCTCAGACCTGACCGTGGTGGGGAGCTGTCCTCGCTCAGACCTGACCGTGGTGGGGAGCTGCCCTCGCTCAGACCTGACCATGGTGGAGAACTGTCCTCACTCAGACCTGACCGTGGTGGGGAACTGTCCTCGCTCATACCTGACTGTGGTGGGGAGCTGTCCTCGCTCAGACCTGACCGTGGTGGGGAGCTGCCCTCACTCAGACCTGACCGTTGTGGGGAACTGTCCTCGCTCAGACCTGCCCCACAAGCCAGCGAGCGGACCTAGCCCCAGCAACTGCACAGCCTGGACACCACCACGACGTGGCCACGCTCAGGCTGGACAGTGTCCAGCTCGGCAGTGTCTCCTCTGAGGGCTCCTGACACTCAAGTCAGGCCCAGAGCATTCTCCCCACAGACCACGCGGGAGAATGACAACTCGAAAGCAAATAGCTAGGAAAGATTTCCCGGAATTCCTGGGACCCAGGCCATCCCTACAGACAGACCATCCTACAGAACTATTTGGGGGCTTCGACAGTCAGGATTCTGTCTCTGAACTGCCCCCACAAGGAGCAAACGATGTACTTAAATGGGATAACCAGAAGTGCCGACGTTCAGCACAGATGAATCTCAGGAGAGTATCGAATTGGAAGGAAGACGAGCATAAAAGTCTCTGATGATCCCATAAGAAAGGAAGCACACGGGCATCTTTTAAACATTTCATAATTAACAATGTCATTCTTAAGGCACAGAGCCACATTTTACAGAGGTCACTGGTTTAGAGGATGTTGTACTCCCCAACCACAGAGTTACAAGCAAAACGCTCCGTGTTGTGTGATAAGAGACAGAAACTGTCGACTCCAGCATGAATATGTGCTTTCAGTCTCTACTGAATACAGTGCTGTTTTAACAAAGATGTGTGGTCAGGAAAGTCATTTCACAATAACTGTTCTCTAAATGAAAATGTGATGACTTTTTTCCTGATGCTAGTCATATGAAAAATGCGAATTTTACTGCCAGTTGTTATCTTGAAATAATCTTGAATAAAATCATGACCTAATAATCAAATTCCTGGCAATGGCTGTATCTTTAAAAAGACCTTACTGAGTCAGAGGTTTAGACACAGCTTCAGCGAACACTGGGTTGTGTGCACAGAAGCTCAGGGGTGAATAACTCTGTATTTTAAACTGAGAGAGTGAATAAAGGCAGGCGCCCTGGTGCGTGGAGACATATTTTCTCAGAAATCCCCTGGGCACGCTGTTTGGTGGGTGGGAATCAGCCACTGTGTGGAGGTGTCTGGCTGTATCTCCAGACTCACACAGCAACAAACTGTGAATGCACAGCATGCCTTTCAAACCACCTTTCTACACCTCTCATGATACCGCAATGCTCTTCCATGCACCCACCCTTCACTGTTCCTTAAACGGATTCTCCACATTAGGTGTGTGCAGGGGCCAGGTGTGTGCATGTCAGGGTGGAGGGGGGTGAAACGGACCACGCTTGTCTTCCTAATAAGCATTTGTCCCTCTGCCGCATGCAGCAGGATAAAAGGAGAGAGGAAATACTCACTTAAAATGTTATATATAATTGGCAGAGCTTAATTTTTATGTGTTGACTACGTGGAGAGGTCACATTCAGCCCGTGTTGACAGCGAATATTTTAGAGAATGTCAAATTTACTAAAGACCTCCTTGTTGAAGAAAAAAGAAAGCCATCAAATTAAATAGTGTTTAAGTAAAACAGATATTGCCTTAGAAAACAACAACTGCAGGTGGTTTTGAGGTTATCAATGCCAGTTAAATAACATTTGAGTGGATGTCATTAATGCTGGTTTGAAGTTATTAATGCATTTGGTTTGAAGTTATTAATGCTGGTGAAATCACATTTGTTATATATCCATCAAATATACAACATCCCCAAACAGCACCCTGGTTTGGTTGTATGAAACAGGTTGCCTGACATATTTGAGGAATTGTGTGTACCTCTTGCAGCTATATTTTTCCAATCTGAACACTGTATATACACACAACTTATTTTCTGGTTATCCAGTTTTGTTTTAACCATAAATAAGTTGACTTGGCTTAAAAAAGCAATATTCATTACTTGCAGGTACTTACTGTTGAGTAATTGTTGCAAATTGGGAGCAAGAATTAAACTTAGTAAAATAGTCCCACACCGCCCCACCAGCCATTGGATTGTCCCCATGACCTAAAGCTTTCCCATAGCTGCAGTTGTTCCCAGTGAAACTCTCTGCCCTGGGCTGCAAACCCCGTTAAAGGCTGGCATCTCCTAACTGCTCTTCTGGAGAACCATGTCATCCTGCGTATAAATGTATGAATGGCATGCATGGCAGACGACCCTGGCTGCGGAGGCCAGCACTTGTTGCTAAACAGCAAGTGTGATTCACCAAGCTGGAGAGAGTCCCACTGACTTGCTCTGCTTCATGAGCAAATTAAAGGCCACAACAGACACCATTTTAACACTAAACCTCCGTGTGGAGAGGCACCGAGCTCTGGGAACAAAATTATGAATGAAATAGTCGATACCCACCTAAATATGCACAAACCAATAACATCTTCCTATTGGCCATGCTCAGTCCTGTACAGAGTATAACATTTTAATGTAAGATATTTTGGTCATTGATAACAGGAACTTTTAAAGCTAGCAATTACCTAGATGCCTAAGCTAATACATCCTTTTACTGACATTCTATTTCATCAGAAAGAGGCTAGACAATACCATTTAAAGAGGTGCATATTTTTGCACGAGGTAAAGCAAAAGCAAAAAAAAAAAAAAAAAGCCAGTATACTAAGGCAAGAAGCACGAAAAGAAAAACCCTCCCAAAACACACTGGACCATCGTCTTGTGGATTGCACAGGTGCCCGTCACTTGTTACAAAGTTCCCCACTGCTAAGGCCCTTTGTGGACGGTACAACCCCGAGACCTCGGGGATCGCAGAGACCCTTGTCAAAATGTGTGCACTCAGAAGCATGCTTCCTCTAAAATCTCAGCAATTCCCATCACACTTAAAACACTGTCTCTTCAGACAGAACAGAGGACAGTCCACTTGGTCAGCTAAATCTTGGAATCTCTGCTTTTGAAGAGGTTGTTGGTCTTAATGACAAATATATGGCAGCACTTTGCGGCGTATCAGTCAAACATCTTCCCTCTTTTCTTTTTATCCTATTTAATGCAGCTGATAAGAGGCACCCAATCTTTCACTGCACTCAGCATTACAAAGGAAGCCGTTTCCACAGGCTTCTCACTCCATTGCTTGCATAGAAAAACACAGGTCTTAATAGCTGCAGGTCCCTGGATTTACTCATTCCCAAAGGAGTACTGAAACCAGCAGCCCGGCTGCTGCATCTTTGCTATAGCAAATGGAGAATAAGCTGGAACAGCTCCTGCGTTACAAATTGCTCCAGTACTCGGTGATTATTGGGAAAATGGTTATAGCTGAAGACTGAACTTGCCTCCTTAGAATTACAGCACCGTAGTTCTGGACAGCTGTGCAAGAGCTTTTCCCCCAAAGCCTCCTGGCAATTAAGATGCTCCCTGGATTACAGTCATACTAGTCTCCCCCCAACTACCCCCAGCTGCTATCACAACGACTATCAAGAGATGAGTGCTTTACTTATAAGAAAGGCAAGACCTATGGCCAGGAGGGAGGGAGGGCAAGGGAAAAACATGCTGCAAAGTATCGAGGGAAAGCGGCTATTGGGATTAACTAGTTGAGTGCTACCAGCTGGCTACTGTCTACCTGATGCCACCGCACCAGGGGAAGTGGACGTTCCAGGTACAGAAAGTCAGAAATGAGTCATCCTTGACTTACCGAGGAGAGCCTCCTGCCACTCCGTCTGCAGCATCCAAACGCCGAGCGCAGGAGGCGTCTGGGTGGACGGGGAGACCTACACTCAGGGAAGCTTCCACATCCTTGCGAGAGAAGCAGGCCAAGACGACCGAGTGTGCCTCCGAGGCTCCAGTCAGCCACAGCCCGGACCAGGCTGCCACGGAGCTCTGCAAACCAGGCACTGCAGCAGCGTGGCAGGCACAGGACTGCGATGCATGGCCCATATAGTCAAGCATAATAGAAAACATGGATCTGGAGTCGACTCCATGTGGATGTGGGGGCTGCTTGGTGCAGAGCAGGAGAGGCAAGCTCCTTCCTTGTAACAGAGTTAGCCATGGAGATGGACACTTTAATTACCATGCACGGCTCTCCTCCAGGATATCAATTACAGAAAGCAGGTGCCTCTATCTCCTGTTTTTTTTTTTCAGATAAATGTCTATAATCTCATTTCACAAATGATCCCTATTTAGACAGGAGCCACCTATTGTGATGATATCATTTGCTCTAGTAGCCATAAATGGGCAACTTCCTAGGGAGCGTCACAGTGCTGACGACATGGGTCTTTATAAGAGTGAGTGGGCAGGGTGCTCGGAGGGGCCCCGTCCACACAGAGCAGCTCCTCCCAGCGACGTCTCGTGCTCCCTGGTGTCTGAAAAGTTACAGAGGAGGAGGAAAGCCCTCCACGGAAATGGCTCAGTGCAACCTCCGAGAAAGTCCTCACCGGGGAGGGAGAGGGAAGGGAAGCAGTGTGGAGCTCGCTGATTCTGTAGCACAACGTGCCACTCACCTGGGCCCCGGCTCCCTGGAAAACACCACAGGGACGCTCGCTCTCTGTGACAGCAACAGTTTGGGGCGTTTCTGCTGCTGCTGCTCTTGGGAGTAGCGAGACTCCAGCTCTGCTCCACCCGAGTCCACACACGTCTTACCCCAAACAAAATACATGGCTGGAGGGGGGGATGCAAATAAGAAGGGGTCACGGGATCCTTCCACAGCTCATGGGCTGCAGAGTTATAACTGTAAATTCTAACTGGCAGCGTGGTTTTCCCTCAACGAACACGTGGATGAGCCGATGAGCTGGGACTCATTTCTACACACATTTCAGCTTCCACACCGCCCAGGCCTACAAAGAAAGCTGATGGTAGAAACCACAGTTGGGCCTACATTGGAGAGAGTAAGGCAGGTGTTCGGGCATATTTTCATCATAAAATCTTCTAAAATTTCCCCGCAACTATTCCAGTGACCCAAAGAGTTCACGAGGGATGGGCGACGATTCCACAGAATGGCTCACCACGAACAAGGCTGGCTGGCAAAGGACAGCGCCAGGTCTACCAAATCAGATGAGAATCTTCCTGGAAAACAGACCTGGTGGATGGGTTCTTCATGCTGGAAAGGTGTAGGGTGCATCAGGGAATTCGTTCCTCTGCCCACGTGGGGGAACTGCCATGGTTGCCCAACATAGAGAAGTATCCATGGTTCACCAATGCCTGTGTTTATTACACAACATCGAAATATCAACACATTGAAGGCTGGGAGACACACTCAGAATGCAAGTAAGTCTCCCTTCCCTAAGATCCCTTGACTGTGAGGGGGCAGAGCCCACCTCCTCTTCCTCAACAGCATCCCAGGCTGCCCTGGCTGTGGCCTCCTGCCTCCTCCCAGGCCCACAGGGAGGTCAGCATGTGGAACCCGCAGGCCCCTCTCTGAGGAAAAGGCAGCCCACAGGATGCCCTGAAATGTGGGGCAGTCATTCAGTGAGGACACCACCATCACCAGGAGTTACGGGATGAACATCATCCCCCAAAATGTAGGGCCACTGGGATCTTCAGAATGTGATCTTACTCGGGAATGAGGTCTTTACGGATGTGATTAATTAAGGACCTTGAGGTGAGGTCATCCTGGATTAGAGCAGGCCCTAAATCTGATGACAGGCATCCTTTTAAGAAGAGACGCTCAGGACACAGAGACCCACAGAGAGAGGGGGCCGTGTGAAGCAGGGGCAGGGGTCGGTGACGCGCTTCCATGGGCCTGGATCACCAAGGACACAGCAAGGACACAGCGGAGGGACCAACGCCCTCAGGGCCTCCAGAGGGAGCCCGCCTTGGGAGGGTATCTATCCACAAGCACTCAGCGGAGGGACCAACGCCCTCAGGGCCTCCAGAGGGAGCCCGCCTTGGGAGGGGATCTATCCACAAGCACTCACCACCTTGGTTTCGGGCTTCTGGCCTCCAGAACTGCGAGACAGTACATTTCTGTTACCTTCAGCCACCCAGTCTGTGGTCTTCATGACGGTGGCCACGGGAAACGGATGCAGCCACGCACGCCCTGAGGCTTTTCCAAGCACCCACTCCGTGGTTCACATCTGACCCTGGGAACAGTTCGCATCTGACCCTGTGGAGGAACTTGAAGCCCCAGACTCAGGTCCTGAGATTCCACTTCCAGTTCACCCAGCCATCCCAGCGACCACTTGCTTGCTGTCAAGACGTCCCAGCTACCATTTTTCTGGCCCTCTGGAGCCCACTCATACTTCAAAACCACCAGCTGTGAATACCCCCGATCCATGCCCCCGGGGCCACACAGAATGCGATTTGCATCGCGACCGCCCCCGACTCTCTGCACTGCCCCATATGGTCGGTCCCACTGCCTGGCTGCCTTCCCAAGAGGCGTGTCTCTGTCTGTCCTGGTGGTTCCTGCGGTCACCACTGCGCCTGCACAGACGTGGAATTCCCTCACCTGCCTCACGCCCCTCAGCCTTCCCACAGCAAAGAGGGCGCCTTGGTCCAAGGAGGCTGACCACAGCATATCTACCCACAAGCATTCACCAGGCATTTGTGAAGTGGTGGGGACACAGGAGGGAGCAAACCAGAACAAAAGCCATGAACACACCCCTGCCTCCGGGAAGCTCACAGCCTAATGGAGGGGAGGCAATGGGCACTGAACAGCCCACACTCGCCACACACCACGTGCTCTGCTCATTCAATCCTCTTGCAGCCCGAGGCTGGAGCTCCTGGGGTCTCTGTCTCATGGAGGGAGAAACTGAGGCACAGAGCTGAGGGAGGAGCCCAAGCCTTCGGGCTCAGGAGTGCGGCTCCAGAGCTGTGTTCCTAAGGAATATGCCACCCCTCATGCCTTCTCCACGGAGAAGGCAGGGAGAGTCCATACCCAGGGGATGCAGGGGTCCCAGGAGGCCCTCGGGGATGGAGTATGCTGGGACCCCGAGGGGTGAGTGGGCAGGGGATGAGGCCCAGCTGGTGATGGAGCCTCTCCCTATAAGTGAAGCCAAGAGGATCCAGGGCCCAAAGAGAGCTGTCACAGAGCCCCAGAGCAGAGAGCAGCACTGCTGGCTTTAGGACTCCCACTGGACACAGAGAGATGGGCGAACCTGAGGTTTACCCATGGACACATGGACACATGGGGGGAGCCCTGGAGACTTCCGTTTATGTCTTCTCAGAAGCAGACGCTGCTATGGCCAACATCCAGCCCAAGGTACAGCCCTGAGATGCTAAATAAAGGTTTGCTGAATTGCATTCCACCTCAAGCTTCTAACACCAGTTTTGATGAGGTCTTTTGAGGTAGGCACAGGTGGGTGTGGCCATCAAGGGCAACGAGCACGCACAGGTGTCCAGGAACTCACATGAAGTCACACCACAAGGTGTTTCCTGATTCCTAATCCAATAATCTGGGGTGGGCCTCAAATATCACTTTTAAGATCACTTGATCTTTGTAGCTTGTCCATATAATATAAGGCCAATCTGTCTTAAGAGGTGACAACCACAACTCTAATTTACCAACCACATACATGACAACAGGTTAAACAACCTACTTGGTAGATGGCTAGAAACTTGGATTTTAACCAGCCGTGATGAGCCAGGCTTCCCCCTGCTCCCTCCAAGTTGATCTCCTCTTTGCCAACACAGTGCTCCCCATTGCTGAACCACATTAGCCAGCTACGTTGTTGCATGGCCCCTCGAGGCTGACCTGAGAATGGGTGCATGGGCAGGTATTAGAAGCCACCCTTAGAGTTCTATTGATGATTGAACTGGACGATGCAAAACTTTGAACCCATATCACACCGCATCTCACAGCAGAGCATGGCCTGCAGCAGTCAGGTCGCCCGTCGGAGCCGTGGCAGGTGCTGGGTTCCTACAGAAATTCGGGCTTATTCTCTCAGTGCCAAGTGAGTGATTATCTATTTGTAAAGCAACATCTCCAAAAGAAGGTCTTTAGCAAAATGCTGAAATCAAGACTCACTGCTAGTCAATCCGGCCACACCCCCAGACCCGCCGCTAGTCAATCCGGCCGCGCCCCCAGACCCGCCGCTAGTCAATCCAGCCAAGCCCCCTGTGGGAATACACTCGCATGCAACCCCACGTGATCCTCACTCGGGGAATTTGGCAGAGCAGGGTAATATCTTTTCTTCTCAAAACTGTTAAGTTCACCAGAAGCAGACTATTGATAGAATGTTTTCCCATAATCTTAGGTTCATGTAGAGCCACAAATAAAGCAAAACAAGTTTTCTTGTTTATGCAGCTTGATGTCTCTGGGTCCTAATGTAAAATGAAGGATTTAAGAACTGGAAAATAAGAGCCAGAAATGCAACCTCTTTTTTTTTTATTTCTCCAGCCTTAAACATCAAAGCTTCAACAAGTACTTTGTTTTGCTACATTGAACTAAAGATTATCTCCCTTTTGTTCTCTTGGTAACACATTTTAACCTCTGGTGTTAGTATCAATGAACATAGTCACAATTCTCAAAGATGAAAGGCCACAAGCTGTTCGCAAACAAATCTAATTCAGAGAAAATTACACCGGAGGTTTTCTTGTTTGCCTGGTCCCTGCTTACATTCTCCAGAAAGACTTTGTCGGTGTTTAGAATAGAGGTTTCTAATCTTCTTCCATAGATAGACATAAGAAATCAAGAGATAGCACAGCCAGTAAGTTAGAGAGACAACAAACGAAGAGCTGAATTCTTAGGCAATGCCATTTATATCCATAGAAGGAAAGAATTATCAATTAAAGACTTAGCCCTTGTGTGCATAACCCTAATGTGAATAATGATTTAGTAAAATGGAAAATACGTGCAGCATTTGAATGTTTGGATTAACATGAACTGTATGTAATTCAAATTTTCCTGTGTTAAAACTCCTGTTTCTTAATAACCTGTTAATACAGATGGCTAACTTCAATGTAGGTAATTAAATTTACCTGTGCTAAAACTCCTGTTTCTTAATAACCTATGTTAATACAGGCAGCTAACTTCTACGTGTAGTAACCGATGCATATCTCAAGGGAACTGTGTGTCCTAGGGTAAAAAGTATTCTCACACTGAAAGGTTTCACAGGTTTCAAAGGTAAAACTCTGCAGTAATAATTTTACAACTCATTTTCATGCAGAAAAATATGTATCTCACAGTAGTTCCTCAAACTGCGGGTGTGGATTATTCTGGTGGGTCCATGAGTTCTTGGGGTTAACGAAAACTAACGAACACGGTCTGTCTCTGTCTCTTCGAGGTGATTTATCGTTAGGAAATTCTCACCTCCCTATTTGGGTTGTATTCACCAGAAAATGCAGGTAGAGGATTAAGGGGGAAATGCTATTTACTAAGTTACCTACCAGGTACAATTAGAAATTCAGGGGCACAGTTGCATGTACTCATTGCAGCTGGTCTGATGTAAGTGCTGGAATTCCCATTTTACAACTGAAGAAACTGAGATCAAAATTAAGAAACTTCTGGAGCGATGATCTGGCAGGGTCAGAATTCAAATCCAGCTCAGTCTGACTCCAGAGCTGATGCTGACAGCAGCACAGTGCTAACGCATCCCTGTATAAATCCACATTTTGGCACGGGTGTGCCGGTGTCCTGGCACCTTTCAACCGGAGCTGTGTTTCATTACACACATTTTGGAAGTCATTAGTTGGAGTCCTGCTGGCTTAGGGGAAAAATAAAATTTTCTTTAATAGTTCTACAGCAAACAAGAGACTAAAGAATGGCTCTTTGAAACACAGTTCCAAAACATGAAAAAAAGTTCCAAAATTAAGACATGTAAATAAGCAAACTAGGAAAAAGAGATGGGAAAAATGGGAGAAGGCTGAGGTAAACCAGGACAGAGGACACACAGAGCTGGAGGAATTCCACCCTCCACCACATGCACGGAACAGTTATGTGAAACTATGGGATGCGTTAGAGGGGCCACAGATGCCACGAGTGGAGAGGCCCACGTGACCAGGCCCTTGTAAAACTATGCCACACAACACACTCAACTGAGGTCGTTTGATCAAAAGTTATAACCAGGAACAAACGGGTATTTTTTCCTAAAACGAGAATTACATTTTTCTCTAAAAGCCCTCCAGTGTTACACTGAATTGCCTGAGGAAGTCATACAACTGAATGCTTACTCAGTGGTGAAATATTGCTACCTGGGAGCTACCAAGCCCTCTCTGCTCTCAACTCCCTGAGCTGCCTCCATAAGGAGCAGCTTCCTGCATCTCAACACCCCCCAGGGCACACCAAGGTGACCACAATCCAACCCACTCTTTTCTTTAGCTGGCCAGGTATTATTATTCCTGACATCTGAAGATTGAGAAGCAGAGATCCATAGAGATTAAATATTGTGCCCAAATCCTTGAAGTAAGAATCAGGATTCAAGCCCAAATGAGCCTGACTCAGGTGCCCCTCTCTGCTGGCGAGGCCTCCTCAGTGGAATGAGCCGTGAAAACTCAGCATGGCAACGGTGCTGGCTGCCGATTCCCGGGCTATTATGGCAGGGGATGCAGCTCTGGAACCTGCTTTGTGGAGGAGCTGGAAGACGGTGACCAACGGCCTATCCGACGGCTGTTTCCAGCGTCCTACCCGGAAGTCCAACAGTGAGAAGACGAGCGTCCTTGGCTTTAGATATTTGATGGAAAACATTAGTAGGGCCATTAAATAAATAGTCCACATGTAAAATCTCTTATAAGTGATAACAACAGACTTTAAGTAGAAAAATATTTTATCTCATCCTAACAGTAAACCAGATAAAGTCCTAACACATTCATAGGTAAGGAACCTAGATATCTTATTACATTAATATTTAGAGCAGGAAGAAGAGACTTACAGGGGACGGATGACTCCAAATCACTGTGACTCTGATTTGAAATGGAAAACAGAAAATCAATTTGCTAGTTTGATAAGTTGAAGCTACAGTTCTTAATGCACTCATCTTCTGTTTCAAGAAAATAGAGCTCATCAGGCCGAAACCACCAGCAAAAGCGCTTTATGTTTAGAGAATGTCATCACATAATCACACAATTGGACAATTGAGAAAAAGTGGTCTCAAAACACACACTGATAGCATCCATCTTTACAAAACGTCTATTCCATAGATTTCACTCTTGGTAAAATTTTTAAGAAGTTGATCCTTATAAACATCTTAAATGTGCGTCGTAACATGGAACTGTTTTCTGACCATGTGGCCTCAACATTCCTTGCTGTGGAAGTATATTCAATTTGCTATATGCGATTATTGCTTCATGAGGAAAAACTATTTTTGTGTGCCACTGTCTATGAAGGCTGTTATTATTTTGTTCTAGTGCTTTTTATAAAACAAACACAAAGCATTAATGAAAACAGTTGATAATAAAAAATGTTTTAGATAAGTTATGGTTTTTCCTTACAATTTGATTGAGAGTAATTGAATCTCAGCCTCCAAGAGTTTTTTTAAGGTCTTGTCCAGTGCAACAGCGTGACACCAATACAATGCAAAAACCATGAATCAAACCTTCCAAATAATGTTAATTCCTGCTGAGAATAGTGCATTGTTTTATTTAAATTAAGCAGTCAATTGTTATCTGATCATTCCTAGGTACACAACCCAAGAGAGGGATGATAAATTACTGGGCATGTTTTATTTAATTTCTATATTAATAATGAACGCCATAGAAAATATAAATATTTGCAGAAATATCATATATTCTAATATACAGTAAGTTAGACTACTTTAATGACAGCACTTATGTAAAAACTTATGTTGACAATGATAGACGTCTACAAAGCCGAAGTGTAACTGGTGACCACAAATCTAAGATGCTTGGAGCCAAGAGTAAAGTCCAAGCCATTTAATACGGACACTGAAACAGGGACACAAAAATGTTTTAATGGGTTTGAGCATAGACATGACTGCGAATGACTTTTATGCATGGATGGTGTGTGTGTGTGCGTGTGTGTCCGTGTGTGTGCGTGTGTGTACGTGTGTGTACATGTGCATACATGTGTGTGCGCATGCGTGTGGATCTGTGTGTGCGTGCGTGTACATGTGTGCGTGCATTCATGCCTGTACTCAAACCAGGAGAGGAAAAATCTATAGGAAGCTTCCCAGAAACGCCGGGTGCCGCACACAGGCTCAGAGGCTCCCATTTCAGCACTCATGATGATGAACAGCACCCAGCAGCGGAAGGCTGAATCTGACCGGGAAAAGGAAGCCGGTGTAACACATTTGTTGTACTGCTAACCACAGATTTCTTTACACAAAAAGACCCAAATAAAAGTGAAATTCATCAAAGGGATCATTTTTAATCTTTTGGAAAATATAAACTCAACAGTACTTGCTCTAAAAGCACTGCAGAAAAGGTTACCATAACTAGCACAGGAATCCATTCTGCTAGGAAGGAAAACCAGTGACGGTAATGAAAATAAAATATTAAAGTTTTGGTTCTTAAATATTATAATGATTTTTGGCTGCTTGCTAACCTGCCACAGTTACTTGCTTGGTTGTTATGGCAACATTCTGCTAGCACCCAATATGTCAGGCAGAAAGACTGGGTCCTTTGCAATTAAATCCAGGAATTATCCCGTCTCCAAACACGGTACACATCCACGGAATTCCTCGCAGTTATCGGGCCTCTGCTTGGTGTGTTTCTGTGTCAGTCTTCATCACTCACGCGTCTGTCTCTTCTTCAGCTGCATGCACACATTTCACTTCCCAGGTTTCAAAACCCCTGGCCTCGGAGACTGCGAACTGACTGGGATGACGGAGCTGACTGGGACACACCTGGTCCTTCTGGTTCCTTCTCTGTGGAGATCAAGCTTGCACAAGCTCCTTCCCTTCCAAGGGTATGAACTCATCACTTGTACTGCCTGTGTAGGAAGCACTTCATTCTATGTTCCCCCAAACTTTATAACCATCTTATGAAGAAGGCATTTTACAAATTAGAAGGCTGAGGTCTGATAGCATTAAATAATTTGCCCAAATAGACTGGCCAGTCACCAGGAGAGAGAAGGTTCCGAATCTGATGGATGCGACTCCACCACATCCGCGCTTCTATTTTGATTTCTTTTAAATAACCCAAAATTACAAAGCAAAACGTACAGCACCTCTTTTCCATTGCGAAATTGCAAACGGCAAAGCACATTACATATGCTTCCTTGTTTGTTACTCCACATGTAAATTCAAGGGGCAGCTGAACATCCTACAGCAACTCCGCAGTGATGAGAAATGTTAGCAAATTTGTTAATTAAGGAAGGTCACATTTACATTTCTCTTGAATATTTGCTTAACCTGGATATCACCTGGTTCTCTATATAGACATTTGGGGGAAGATTAATAATGAGTTTGAATATTACAGGTATGGATTGCAGCCAGTTCTATCCTCCTTACAGGTTGTCATTGCCCTGTGTTTCTATAGGCCATTTTTCAGAAATGCTCCCAGCCTCTCTTATATGTTAAAAACAAGTCCAGTGTGTGTAACCGAGCCCCTAGAAAACCCCTCCCTGTATTACCCAGATGAGTTATTCTGATGACCAGGCCAACCAGAAAAAACAAACTGCCCCCCTACTAGGCCAATGCAACATCTATGGGGTTTGTTCCTACAGAAGCTAATGATCCCCCAGCCATCTTTCGAGGCCAAAGCTAAATGCCACCTCTTCCAGGGACCCTGCCTGTGAGTCCCCGTCAAAGGATTCCTCCTACACAATGCCTGGAATATAGTAACTCCTCCAAAGATGATACTCCCTCCTCTCCCCACTGCCTTTTCCACGCCTTACAGCAAAATTTCCCCATTCCTAGTGTATGCTGTGATGCCATGTGTTAAAACTACCTGCAAAAATTATTTCCTTTTTACTGCCTTTGAGTCAGGGATTACAGGCTACTGAGCTTTAAATACCCCATGGCATTTGGCATGGTTTTGCATGTAAAGTATGTCCTCAGAGTTTGTAGAAAGGAGGAAGAAACAGCTGAATGAGGTAAAACCCCCTGGGCTATGTATGAACTGTCTACATGCATGAGAATGGGGGGAAGGGGTGGTCAGAGGCAGGCCCAGGAAGGGCGGCCGGGCCCAGGCCCACCTCATGACACGGGAGTTCAGTGCCCACAATAGGCACTCTGGGGCTGCAACACCAGGCACAGGAGAACAACGTCAGTGTGCAGTTGGCAGGCGCGTGCTGGCGGCAGGCGTGTTGAGCCTGGTTTCTCCCTCTGCATCCTTGTGGGGCATCCCATTGTGGGTAGAATGTGGGCAGGTGGCACTCCTCTGGTGTGCAAATTCAAAAATTAATAGGCTTATAGATGGTGCATTTAAGCTCATTTGCTCTCATGAATCCATGGCATGTTGAAATTGAAAGGAAAAAACCCGTAGCAGACTCCCAGTCGACTTCTCCACTTAGAGAGGAGTAGAGCTAAGCCCTGAGGGGCCCAGGCAGGAGACTCAGCAGGTGACTGAGCAGGCATGAGACAGAGGTGAAGCCCCCCAGCCTCATACAGCCACTGTGCTGAGCGTGGCGGGATCTGCATGAGAAGAAGCAGCTTCCGTGAGTCTAAACTGTGATGTGGACCAGACGTGACTTTACTCTGGATCCCAAAATCAGTCCATTTAAGACCCCAGAAAATGCTCTATTAGATAAAATTACATAGTAGCAAGTCTATTTCTATTTGTGCATGTGTAAATTCTCTGTTGTGTCTTTTTGACAAAATACTCTGCGTATGTCATCTTTATGCTGAGTGGTATTAACATCAATATAGTCTGTGCCTTCACTTCAGAAGTGACAGCACACTCCCCACGTGCTGACGGTATTGGATCATTTTGCATCTGAGGGTAAACAGCTGACGGTATTGGATCATTCTGCATCTGAGGGTAAAACGATCTTGTATGGAGAGAAGATGCAGCTGGATCTGAGACAACACAGCCCGGTGCCCCTCCCAGGTGAGTGCTGCTGAAAAATGCTCCATCCAGAGAGCCTGGGTTCCCTTCAATGAGGCCTCTGGAGAAAAGAAAATTTCTGGGATAAAGTCAACTCATGCAGTTGTGCTTCGAGGTGGTGCTGACAATGTTGCCCAGGAAGAAGCTGCTCCCCTTGTGCCCTGTCCCATCCAGGGCCATCATGGAATGACCCCACCACAAAATGACCCCCTGCCCACAAAAAGACCCCACCACAAAATGACCCCCACCCACGAAATGACCCACCACAAAATGACCCCCACCCACGAAATGACCCACCACAAAATGACTCCCACCCACGAAATGACCCCCACCCACGAAATGACCCCACCACAAAATGACCCCCCACCCACGAAATGACCGGGCACGTGACAGCCTCTCTCGATCTAAGGCCCATAGGTCACACAAGCTCATCACACACTGCCGCATGGAAATCTATGGGGAAGCACGTAAAAAATTCAGGTCCTTTTCATCCCTCCACAGACCTCCTGACTCAAGGTTTCTGAGAATCTGCCCTTCAAACTAGTTCCTGAGAAAACAGCCAGGCAGTTTAAGGAGAAGATACTTTAAAATGTGTTACGTGTGTAATGAAATGGAAGCTACTTAAATGTCAAGATGAGGAGACTGGGTTGGAAGAATTATCCCATGTACATGGGATGCAATTAGCTATTCCTGTAGTCTAAGAACACCAAGTTCCTGCATTCAGGGACAGGCGCTCCTTGGCTTATAATGGGGTTACTTCCTAATAAACCCATCATGAGCTGAAAATGCCGTAAGTCAAAAATGCATTTAATACACCTAATCCACATAACATCACAGCTCAGCTTTGCCCAGCGTGAATGTGCACAGAACACACGCATCAGCTTACAGTGGGCAAAAGCCACCTCGCACAAGGCCTGTTTTATACTAAAGTGTTGGATATATATCTCATGCAACATTGAGTACTATCCTGAAAGTGAAAAACAGAAGCAGAGGGGCACTCGTATGGCATTCAGGAAACCTGTATCATGTTTGAACCATCCTAAAGTCAAAAAATTGTGTGTCAAACCATGGTTAAATCGGGGACTGTAGGTATTTACAATTTATAATGAATATTTAAAAGCTGGTTAAAACTGTAGGCATACAAAGTTTCTGCTCTGAAACTATAGGCACACGTGGCTGTGACTGCCTGCATATCCGTGAACACATATGTATGTGTGTGACTGCCTGTGCATGTGTGTACACGTATGTACATGTGTGTGACAGCATGTGTGTACACATATCCGCATGTGTGTACATATGCATGTGCCTGCCTGTGCATGTGCATACACGTAGGCACATGTGTGTGACAGCATGTGTGTGCATATATCCACGTGTGTACATATGCATGTGTCTGCCTGCCTGCACATGTGTGTACACATATGTACTTGTGTGTGACTGTAAATGCGTGTGCACATATCCACACATGTGACTGCCTATGCATATGTGTACACGTATGCACACCTGTTACTGCCTGCACTCATGTGTGCATGTGCCTGTGTCTATGCACCGTCTGTGTGTCTCTGTTCATGTATGTCTGTGCCTCCATTCATATGTGCCTGTGTCTGTATCCACGCATGCATGGGTCTGTATTCATGGAAGGATGTCTCTGCTTGTGTGTGTCCTGAAAGTAAATCCAGCACACTGTCAATAGTGGTTATTTCAGAGTGGAGGAATATGGAATAACTGAATATTTTCTTTTTGTATACGCCCTACCTTTTATAACATAAACAATATTTATCTATTGCAAGGAAAGCACAATAAATTTTTACAAATAAAGGATAAAAGGGTAAATTGTATTCCCGTGTGACGTTAAGCAGGGTGTTTAGAAAGAAACATTCCAACAGTGGCCGCTGACCAAATGTTCCTACCCAGGTGGCACTGGTTGGGGAAGCCTCTGAGCAAGTCACGGGAAGAAGGTGTCTGTGTCTTCGAAGACGTTAAAATTATAGAAGTAGAACAGGCCTCCATCCTAACATTGATATTTGCATAAAACTCGCCATTTTATTATACATTTCCCCCGTTTGCATAAAACTTGCCATTTCATTACACATTTTCCCCCGTAACTCGAGAGACAATGAGGATGAAGTCTCGTGGAATCGAGGCTCAGAGACACCAGTCGTCGTCTAAACATTATTGACAGTGCCCGCCACAAGATGCTTCCCCTCCCATGTATTTTGCAGGAATGCAGGCTAAACGGGAAGTAACTGGTCAATGACAGACACATAACTTTGTCAATCTCTTATCAATGTCATTCTGAAAACTCTACAAATTATCATGCTTCCTGGAAAACCGAAAGCTGGTGTGGCTCAGTCAAATCACTGCTGTTTTTCTACCCGTGAGTCTGTTCATGCAGTTTTAAATATAGTTGTGAAATCACTTAGTCATATTTATAGGCACACTGAATTTTAAAGTCAGAGTGTACCAGGAGAATATGCAATCCCGGCTACTCATTTTACAGAGAAGAAAGGCACACAGGAGAGGGTGGCTGTCCCAAGACTGCAGCTTCGGCGGCAGATGTGGGGACAGGCTAGGCCCACCGCAGCCCCAGTTCCAGGTCTAGGGCCTCGGGCGGCATCTTCTTCTCATTCAAACAACATCACAGCACCCACATCAAGGCATGTGGTTTGAGCCCAGCTTATTCAAATTATTTGGCCCAAGGAAACACACCAAGTATTCACCATTGTACTTTGCTAGTTAAACATCATTTCAAGCAGAAGAGACGGGACATTGTCTTGCACAGCAGGGGCCTTGCGGAGTATAGCAGGGCCCACCCCACACCTTCCAGAGATTCACTGAGCACAGACGCACAGACGATGCCGTCGCTACCTGTGAACACCCGGTGGCAGGTTTTAGAATCAGCACTTACTGAGACCAGGAGAGGCCCTAATAACTGAAGTAGCAACGGCTTTGAAGTCAGATGGAACTAGATTCACATTTCACCTTGATTTACTTCCTGCATGTCTGTGAGCCTTGGGGTGTCCTTTGTAAAATGGAGACGACAGCCTCACAGGACTGAGGCTGGAATGAGAACACGCGCCGGGCACAGTTCTGAGCGATCTACGTGCTCTTCATAGATGTCTCACACTGCAGGCCAGTTCTATCCAGTTCGTTTGTATTCTGTAGATTAAAAATCTGAGGCTTAGGGAGTTGAACAACTCTCACAAGGTCAAATACTTTCCAGCGGAAATTCGGACTCAGGCAGGTTGGTCCAAAACTTGAGCTACACACAGTCGGGTCAAATACCACAGTGTCCGCACCCTTGCAGGCCTTAACGGTCTAAGGTTTTCAAACATAAAAGAAAGACTGAGTTACAACTCTGTACCTAGGCTAGACATATAGATCAACGGAATAAAACTGAGAGCCACAAAATAAACATTAATATTAATTTTTAACAAGGATGCTGCGATAGATTGAATGTTTCTGTCCCCTCAAAATCCATATGATGAAACCGAACCTCCAAGGTGATGGTGTTAGGAGGTGGGGCCTTTGGAAGGTGATTAGGGCATGAAGGCTGATCCCTCATGAATGAGAGTAGAGTCCTTAAAAAAAAAGGCCACAGAGACCCGCCTTGGCCTTCTGTGGGACACAGTGGGACACAGTGGGAGGCCATCTAGGGACCAGGAAGTGGCTGTCGCTGGACACTGACCCTGCCAGTGTCTTGATCTTGGCCTTCCATACCCCAGAACCTTGGGAAATAAATACTGTTGTTTATAAGACACTCGATCCAGGCTATTCTGTGGCAGCAGTCTGAGTGCACTAAGATGTGAGGAGACTCACTGGGAAAAGTATATTATTTTGCCAACATAATGCTCAAAGGAAATGCTCACTGGAGCATTTTGGATTTTAAAATATGGGATCATTAACTGGTAAGTGTAATGCAAATATTCCAAAATCCAAAAAAAATTCCAAAATCCGAAAGACTTCGTTTCCCAAAACTTTGGGATAAGAGATACTCAACCTGTATATCATAAAATATAGAAGCTTGACAACCTTGCTAAGTGAAAGAAACCAGACCGCAAAGGTTGCATATTGTATGTTTCCTTTCATATGAAATGCTGAAAGCAGGCTCCCTATAGAAAGAGAAAGTCTGCTGGTGTTTTCCAGGGTCTGGGGAAGGAGATGATGGGCAGTGACTGCCAACCAGTTAGGGGTTTCTTATGGGGATAAGAAATATTCTGCAATTAGATAGTGGTGATGGCTGCACAACTCTGTGAATATATTAAAACCACTGAATGTTTACTAGAAATGAGTAAATTTTATGGTATGTGAATTATGTCTCAATAAAGCTGTATTATTAAAAAAAACCTATTATTTTAATAAAACAACAAAAAAAGGATGCATTTCAGTCCTTTCAAACCTGGCGTGCATTTACCAAGCACTGACAATGGGTGAGGCCTTGACCCCAGATGGCTAGGCAGAAAAAAAAAAGGGGGGTTGTGGTGAAATTCAAATTCAGCAGAAAATTTAATAAATCACAAATTCCTCATTCCACAAGCATCTCTGTTAATCAAGAGCTGAAGAGAGATCATACTATATTTGCATTTGTAAAACAACTTCATATTTGTAAAGCAGCTACATATGCAAGACACTGATGCTAAGGAGAGAGTCAATTCACTTATCCCCCTTTTCAACGTGTACTAACACATCTCCAACAGCATCTGGGTTATGGGGATGAAGGAAACACAGATATTAGGTGAAAAAGCCTCAAACACGCCCACATGCAATGTGGATTCTTACTTAGGTCCCCTTTAATGTCTCTCTTTAATATCTCTTTTTATTCCAGCAGAAAAGGTTTGAATCAGCCAGTCCCATTCATGTACACATCCACCCCTGCAAAGTCATATATGCACGGCAGCCGGGGAAATGGGAGGGGGAATTTAGATCATGAAGTACAAGCAAAATAAAAACAACCTCCAAACTAGAGGTAAAGTGAAGCATGGCCCTCGGTCACATGCACACTTTGACATTCTTGATCCCAAACTGGCAGAGCAAATGTCCTATGGCATGGATTTCATTATGCCAAATTACAGATTGCATTCAAGGCAGAACAAAAATGAAGGCAGTAGGAAAATAAAAGTGATTAAACCCACATTAGCCTTCAGAAATATGGTTTCTGCTAATAACTGCCTGACTTTATTCTATTTACCACTAATTTACTGGTAACTGGGCAGCTTTTATATTGCTGGGCTGCTTTCCGTGACTCAATAGAAAAATCTTCGACAAAATTGAATTGCACATTCCTAGCATTCTCTCACTTTCCCCCTCTCACTAATTAAAACCCAAAGGCTTTACCTCTTGCCCCCTTCACTTTGAAATTACTGGGACCCAAGCCCCGTTAAACTTGATTACAAACGGCAGGTCTGGGAGTCAACATTCCAACCTTGTGCAGACATCTGAGCAACCAGGGGGCGCCGTCCTATGGCGAGTCACCTAGAAATGCACATTCCTGCTTACTGCCAATGTTTGCTGAGCACTTACTATGTGCCAGGAACTCTTCTGGGTGTCCCCATCCAAAAGTGAACAAAACAGACAACACACACACACCTGTCCCTAAAAAAGGACACCTAAACAAGAGAACTCACAGAAGCAGCGAATAGAAGGGTGGTTACCAGGACCTGGGTGGGGGCGCGGTTGGGGAGGTCAAAGGACACAAAATGCCAATGAGACGGGAGGAGTAAGTCAAGAGACTGATGCCCAGCATGGAGACTGCAGTCCACCAGGCACTGCATAGTGGAAAACTGCTAAGAGGGCAGATTTTAAGGGTTTCATCCAAGAAAATGATAGTGTGTGAGTAATGCATACGTTAATTAGCTCAATTTAGTCTCTCCGCAGTGTTTACGTCTTTCAAAACAACAGGTTGTATACCATAGACATATACAATTTGTATTTATCAACTTTAAAAAATGAAAACATTTAAAAGTAAGGGGTGTTGAGTATACGCTGGGCACTGTGTGTGTGAAGTGCTTTATATACACTCACTCATTTAATGCTGACAACCAAACTATTAGGTGGATACTACCGCTGTCCGCTTTCATAAACAGGGAAGCTAAGATGCAGAGAATTTTGGTGAATTGCCAAAAGCCAAACAGCCCTTAGGCAGCAGACTGGACATTGCAGGGAAGTCTAGACCAGGGTTTCTGCGTTCAACCTCTGTGGTTCAGGGAATGGACCGGGCATTCAGCTGAGCTGTCTCCGGAAAGAAGAAAGAAATAGGCAGGAGGTTCTCTCTGCTCACTTATCATGTGTGCTTATGAGGAAATGACAAGGACCTTTTAAGTCTGTAGCTGAAGGTAAGCATATTCCTCTGAAAGATGGAGGGAATGCTGGCCTCACCATGGGGTGATGGGGATCATGTGGTCAACAGGGAAGGTTTGAATATTCAGAACAAGAGGGAAGAATTATTGGGGTTTTGACCCTGAGGAAGCACGTGGGTGGGTCCGTTCTGCAGGTCGAGAGGTGACCCGAGGTAAGATCTGGGGTAGCTCTTCCATAGCGAGGGGGTATGGAGCAGCCACAGGCACAGACACAGGGAGCTGAAATGTGGCAAGGAGTAGCTCAGCAGAAACTTTCCTCCGATAGCTTCTAGTCTTTTAGTGCAATGGGAATCGAAGTCATCTACTGAGAAAGGATGGGAGAGGAGACCCTGGGATACATGCGGGAGAAACAACTGTCTGGAGGCCTAGAGAGACGTCGTGTCCTGCCAGGTCACATGCACACTTTGACACTCCTGATCCCAAACTGGCAAAGCAAATGTCCTATGGCACAGATTTCAGCGCTAGGACTGCGTTTAAGCCAGGTGGTCACGCAGGTGCGGTGAGACCAACTCACCCAGCTGTCTGTGGCCCTCCAGCCTGTGCAGCCACCTGGGCAGGTGGAGGAGAGATGGAGGCTCTGTGTACAGGACAGGGCTTTGCCAAGGCAACACAACAAATTCACAGACGGCTGAGTTTTGCCCAGGGAGAGTTTGCAATCATGAACCCCCATCTTTTCATTTTCTTACATATTCCATTTATCTGGGATAACACTAAGTGACAACTTGCCGTATTTTGGGTTTTATGACCACCAGTTCCTCTCAACAGGGCTTTATTGGGCCCCTAGTCTGTGCCAGGCTGTAAGGGGATGGGTTACAAGGAGGACTGTGGTAGTATCTCACCATCCTGAGCTTCACATCCAGCAGGAGTGGGACCGGTGAGCCATAAAACACAGCGTGGCGTGGCAGGGCAGTCACTGCTGTGAGAAGTGTCACGTTTGTGCTCCGTCCTTTGGGAAGTCCTGGGGGCTTCAGAGGTGATGCAAAGTCTCTAACCCAGAAAGCATCACAAGCAACTGCACCCCAGCTGAGATCTCACTGCCCGTCTCTCCACACCTGCCTTCCTGGAGCCCAGCAGCGAGGCACGCTTGCTTCTTGATTGCTTCACTGCCTTACTGTGTCCTTCTAACAGCAGCCAAAGAGGCATTGCCCACCCCTGAGAGCCCAAAACACAGGTGATTAACTTACCCCATGCACAGAAACCTGGGCATTATTACTATTTGACAACCTAACAGGCCAGAACACTTCCTTCCCTTCACACCTGGTCCAAATCCACATGACTGACCAAGCCCTCCCTGAAAAGGCAGCACAGCTCATGTTCCCCCTTCATCCCCCTTCCCCACTGCAGTCCTCCTAGTTTTCGTTATCACTCACCAACACTGTCACAGGGGTCTCTCAGCCACCTACTGCTTCCTGAAGAATCCTTTGTCCTACGAAGGCCAGGGGGAGCTTTCCACAGAGAAGCCCCAGGGTAGACACATCCACCACCTACCAGCCACCACCTACATCCACCACCCGTGAGCCACATCCACCACCCACATCCACCACCTATATCCACCACCTACGTCCACCACCTGCCAGCCACGTCCACCACCCACACCCACCACCCACACCCACCACCCACACCCATCACCCACGTCCATCACCCACACCCACCACCCACACCCACCACCCACGTCCACCACCCACATCCACCACCCACACCCACCACCCACACCCACCACCCACATCCACCACCCACACCCACCACCCGCATCCACCACCAACACCCACCACCCACACCCACCACCCACGTCCACCACCCACACCCACAACCTGCCAGCCACATCTACCACCCACTTCCACCACCCATATCCACCACCTACATCCACCTCCCACATCCACCACCCACATCCACCACCTGCCAGCCACATCCACCACCCACATCCACCACCCACACCCACCACCCACACCCACCACCCACATCCATCACCCACATCCACCACCCACATCCACCACCTACCAGCCATATCCACCACCCACATCCACCACCCACACCCACCACCCACACCCACCACCCACATCCATCACCCACACCCACCACCCACACCCACCACCCACATCCACCACCCACACCCACCACCCACACCCACCACCCACATCCACCACCCACACCCACCACCCACACCCACCACCCACATCCATCACCCACATCCACCACCTACATCCACGACCCACATCCACCACTCACATCCACCACCCACACCCACCACCGACATCCAACACCCACATCCACCACCTACATCCAAGCCCCCAGGACTTCCCAGAGGATGGAGCTCCCAGGGTGGAGGCCTTCCCTGGCCACTGGCTCCTGGGGACCTGGTCTGTGACCTCACATGCTGAATGCATCACTCAATACCGGCGGTGCTTTCCTGGGCTACGCTTCACGGCTCTTCTCACCACCATTTTCCACACACATCTCAGGCAGAACACGACTGCAGGCCTACGGCTTCCTTTGAGGGCTCACGTTTACAAGATAACAAGTGATCTGACAGATTCAAGGTCAGATGTTAAATCCTAAGCCACCTCTGCGTCTAACATGTTTTTCCTGAAACCCCTAAGGAAGCCCCACAGATCTGCTTTCTGTACTAGGCACGTTGTTGATTTTCTCCCTCATGGATCATGATCTTGGGAACAGCTCAATCCAAAACAAGGCTGTGCCCCAAGAATGTCCCTGCTTCCACTCTCCACAGCCAGGGGGTGAGCAGCCTCCCTGGGAAAGCCGGACAAGGCATCACTCAGGTGTGAGGGACTCACTGGGGTTGCTGGCTTTCCCCAGCCAGGCAGGTGCTGGGGCTGGGGGCTCTCCTGCCTGTCTGTGTTGGGGTTTGCAGTCTGAGGACACGGCCCAGAGACACTCCCTGGCCGTTCTGCTCTGCAAATCAGGTCGACGGCTCCATCTAGGGGACACAGAATTACCTCGACAGCCGAGCCAGAAGAAATCCCCGCAGGCTCCTGAAACAGCCGGGGAGAAAGAGAGAGCTCACTCCAAGAGAAGAGCAGGCACTGATGGTTACCCGACATTCTTCCGCATGGTGAGAGTCCAGCTGACCCACGGCAAAGGGCTCGGAGAACGCTGACCCACGGCAAGGAGCTCGGAGAACACTCACCCACGACAAGGGGCTCGGAGTACACATTTCCCGCAGACCCACGGCAAGGGGCTCGGAGAACACTCACCCACGGCAAGGGGCTCGGAGAACACTCACCCACGGCAAGGGGCTCGGAGAACACTCACCCACGGCAAGGGGCTCGGAGAACACTCACCCACGGCAAGGGGCTCGGAGAACACTCACCCACGGCAAGGGGCTCGGAGAACACTCACCCACGGCAAGGGGTTCGGAGAACACTCACCCACGGCAAGGGGTTCGGAGAACACTCACCCACGGCAAGGGGCTCAGAGAACACTTTTCTCAGAAACAGGAGAAACAGGCACAGAAATACAGGAAAGGAGAAAATGCCACATCCTCCCTCACCCCAAAACCTGGGCTTTGAAACAGGCTCTGTCTCCTCCCGAGTGCCTCTGGCCAGGGCGGATGTCGACACGGATGCCTCGGCCATGTAGGTTTTAGCTGCCAACTCCAAAGAAAAAGGCTGAGAGTAGCTGCGAGGGGCGATCTCCACGCACCTCCAAGCTAACTCGCTGGTTACCATTTATGACTGTTAACATAAGATCGCCATCACAAAGTGGGTTTGGGGTCTGTGGCAGATACAACATGGGTGGGGACTTATTTCCCAAAATTTACATAATCCTGCTATTACAGATTATATTTAACTGTTATTTAAAATTAACCATATCCATTGCCGAGGACAGATACCTCCCCTTAGGAAAGAGGAGAGCAGTCTGCACCATTTCTGGTAACTCAATTAAAATCAAGATGCCATCCTCACTCACACAAAGTAGCTGAAAGTAGAGGTTTTGGTATGTCCTATGTATGTTGTTTCTGGAAACACCCTGCACCTTTACAGACTAAAAGTAAGTCACCAATCCTGGTTTACAGCCTAGATCAAAAGAGGGCAGCTCCAGGAATGAGGGTGCGTGCTGAGGAAGAATAAGAGCTCACCTCGGAGTCAGTGATGAAAAATATCCTCCCACCAGGAAGGGGCCACGACTCTGCGCTCCTGCTGGATCTGCATTTTCACAGCCCAAAGCATCATGTCCCCTCATATGCACCTCTTCTGAACGGAGCTGACCACAGAAATCTAGCTGACCATGCACACCGAGCCGACCACGGAAACCGAGCCGACCACACACACCAAGCCGACCACGCACACCGAGCCAACCACGGAAATCGAGCCGACCACGCACACCGAGCTGACCACGCACACTGAGCCGACCACGGAAACCGAGCCGACCACACGCACCGAGCCGACCACGCACACCGAGCCGACCACGGAAACCGAGCCAACCACGCACACCGAGACGACCACGGAAACCGAGCCGACCATGCACACCGAGACGACCACGGAAACTGAGCCGACCACGCACATTGAGCCGACCACGCACACCGAGCCGACCACGCACACCGAGCTGACCACGGAAACCAAGCTGACCACGCACACTGAGCCGACCACGCACACCGAGCTGACCACGCACACTGAGCCGACCATGCACACCGAGCTGACCACGGAACCCGAGCTGACCACGCACACCGAGCTGACCATGGAAACCGAGCTGACCACAGAAACCGAGCCGACCATGCACACCGAGCTGACCACGCACACTGAGCTGACCATGGAAACCGAGCTGACAACACACACCGAGCCGAACACGTGCAGCGAGCTGACCACGCACACCGAGCCGACCACGCACACCGAGCCGACCACGGAAACCGAGCTGACCACGGAAACCGAGCTGACCACGCACACCGAGCCGACCATGCACACCGAGCTGACCACGGAAACCGAGCTGACCACGGAAACTGAGCAGACCATGCACACCGAGCCGACCACGCACACCGAGCTGACCACGGAAACTGAGCCGACCATGCACACCGAGCTGACCACGCACACCGAGCTGACCATGCATACCGAGCCGACCATGCACAATGAGCCGACCACGCACACCGAGCTGAACATGCACACCGAGCCGACCATGCACACCGAGCCGACCACGGAAACCGAGCTGAACATGCATACCGAGCCAACCACACACACCGAGCCGACTACAGAAACCGAGCTGACCACAGAAACCAAGCTGACCACGGAAACCGAGCTGACCACGCACACCGAGCTGACCACGCACACCGAGCTGACCACCCACACCGAGCTGACCACGCACACCGAGCTGACCACGCACACCGAGCTGACCACGCACACCAAGCTGACCACGCACACCGAGCTGACCACGCACACCAAGCTGACCACGCACACCAAGCTGACCACGCACACCGAGCTGAACATGCACACCGAGCCGACCATGCACACCGAGCCGACCACGGAAACCGAGCTGAACATGCATACCGAGCCAACCACACACACCGAGCCGACTACAGAAACCGAGCTGACCACAGAAACCAAGCTTAGCACGGAAACCGAGCTGACCATGCACACCGAGCTGACCACGCACACCGAGCTGACCACGCACACCAAGCTGACCACGCACACCGAGCTGACCATGGAAACCGAGCCGACCATGGAAACCGAGCCGACCATGGAAACTGAGACGACCACGCACACCGAGCTGACCACGGAAACCGAGCTGACCACGCACACCGAGCTGACCACGGAAACCGAGCTGACCACGCACACCGAGCTGACCACGCATTTCCACATGGGTCACTTCCTATGAGTCTCCCTCAACGCAACCAACCAGGTGAGTTTGCTCCAATGAGGTGATTGTTTCCATTTTATAAAGGAGGAAAGTGGGGCTGAAAACTAAGTTTCCGAAAAATTACAGAAATCAACTGCATCCTAAAATCTTTCTAACAGGCTATATGATTTCAGTGCATAAGAATTAAATACAACTTGGAGAGACACGAAAGCATCCAATTCAAATGGATGGGTTACCCGAGAAACTGACAAATAGTTGATGTAATATGACACTGAGTCTCAATGAGGTTCCTCACACAACTTGATTTTCCGACTGAAAAAAACATGGATGTTTCCATGAGCAAATGTGGGGTCGTAGTTATACATACATACATAACTCCCAACCACATATTAATTTTGACCCTCACCTACTGTCATATTTTGTTTGAGTCCTATTATTCCTTTCAAGGTTCAAATTCTACATGCTTTTACAGAAATAGAAACCACAGGGAGGCACATTGTGAAATTAAAGTGCTAACCAAAAGAGGGCTTTCAATTTATCCAAATTATCTAACGCATAATGGGGCTACTTCTTGAGAATTACTCCTAACGTTTAATATTTATTTCTAGCCCATAAAATGTTGCTCAAGAATTATTCCTTCCTGCCACTTGATGTCCAATTCAGTACTGAACAGAGGCTCCAGGGGATACCAACACCATCATTTTACCCACAGCTGCAGGTGTTTTTCTTGTTTCCTGGACTTCAGAGGACATTTGCTGGTGGGGTTGGAGGTTCCCTGCCAAGGTCAATCACACAGAGGCTCCCACAGTCATTCCTGGACCAAATTGCCCATAATTGAGCCCAAGGACACTTGGAAGGAAAAAAGGTTCTGGAAGAATCATCCAAAAAGCTGTAACTCTTCCAACCAGAGGAGAGATGCAAGCTCAGATGAGGGACTCTCAACCACAGACACTGACTGCGTTAGCACAGAAGACACTTTGTCTTCCTGAGAAACACACAGGTAGCGACTCCAGAGGGACGAACACTTGTATATGAACACACACACTTAACACACACAGCCTACCTACAGCATCCGAGGACACCAACGACAAAGGGGTCCAACTGCCCACGCAGGCTCCACACCAGCTCTCCCAGCCTCTAGTTACACACTATGGACACCAACCTCCTCCGTGTCTACAAAACCTCAGCTTAGCGCAGAGGTTCTCAAAGTGTGGTCAAGCCAGGGCCTCAGAAGCACAAATTCTCGGGCTCACACCAGGCCTGCTGGATCAGAATTGTGGAGAGACCGGCTGTCTGAGCTTTGATAAGCTTTCCCAGGGTGATTCTGACACATATTAACGCTGGAGAGCCCCTGGCTGAGACAAGGCAGAGGGAACCAGCCTGCTTGGATATTTTAACGGCCCAAAGCGGCTAAAAGGGGGCTGGGTTTTGCATGTTCCTCTTTGGTTAAACTTCTTCCCGATAAGGACAAGAACCCAGCAAGGGCAGAGCCACTGCTCACTAAACACTGTGTCAGCATTTTAAAAACTACATTTTGTAGAGAACAAAAGCGTAAAATTAACCCCTTAGAGGATAAAGTGCAGGTGATGCCGGGAGGGACAGCAGATGATGCAGCTGACACGTCCACGTGCTCCGTCCCTCGGACAGGTGAAGGCAGCACTGCCTCTTCAGTGCACAGCAGCCAGGCCACCGCCAGGCCCTGGGGGTGCAGGAGCTGTGGAGAGAGGCCCCTTCACAGTCTGAGTCAATGATAACACCGAGGGAAGCCCTGGGCCCGAGGCGGAACAGCAGATTCTACTGAAGGGGCGGGAAGAGCTTGAGATAAAAGGTGTCCTTCAGGTTGAGCCAGAGCCTGAAGTCAGGGTCACGCCAGGTGATAACAGAGAGAGAAAGGCCCGAGGGAAGGTGGAAAGCTCGGGGCGCTCGGGCCGGGAGGACAGGACGGCAGGGGACGCTCAAGGCTGTTGAGCTCCCTGGGTGCAGGCGGCAGGAAGGACTGAATCCACCTCGGATTCCTCTCTCTCTACGTGACCATGGGCAGGAGCCACACTGCCCACTCTCCAGGGACACAGCATGCCTGTCCGCCATGAGGGAGCTCCTCCATCTGGCCAGCAGAACAGCAAGCGTCCAGTGCATTCCCCAGTCACTGGCTCAGGAGGCTCCACGGCCCCTTATTCATCAGGAGAAGGAAACCAGGAGCACGGACTTTAGGAACTGTGCCGGGAGGGGGTCACACCTTCTGGTATCCTAAAAAAAGCAGCTTATGTTTCAAGGGGTAAAATCAAGAGCAGGGCATCACCTTTTATTATTTTGAGGGCACCCAGGATTCTGAACCATGACTGCCTATTGACACTTTTCTTAGTGACGGCAATTCCCAGCCTGCGGCACCTCCTGTTCACTCCACGCTCCGCTACAGCTGGGAGCTGTTCTGAGCCGGAGCCAGCACCCTCCCTGCCATGTACACGACAGCTGCTCTCTAGGGTGCACGGTTCAAGGCCCTGCCTTGACCAAGCACTGGTCTCTATAGCCTGCCAGGCCTCCCCTTATAACCCCCAGGCCCCATGAGGCCCATTCCAGGATCCCCAAAGGCCCCAACACTCTCACCAGCACCTGAGGGACAGCGCCTTCCATCCACAAAGCAGAGAACCTCCCCCGACCGTCCCCACGGCCGCCAGACTGACAGCTGCCACCCACACCCCGTGTAGGGTCCCCTGGACAAAAGCCTTTCCAGCCCTGAGGAGCTGAGCTCTCGCCAGCCCCACCTCACACCACACGTCGGGGGGTCTTGTGTCCTCCCCAAGCCAGCATCCACTGCAGCAGATGGGGTGCTGTGGCATGTTTACTGCTGACCTTCTAGCACAGTGTTCATTAAACACGTGAACATGTGGGGTCGGGATGAGCGTGTGAATCCACTCGCGGTGACACGCGGGGTCGGGATGAGGCTGTGAACCCACTCGCGGTGACACGCGGGGTCGGGATGAGCGTGTGAATCCACTCGCGGTGACACGCGGGGTCGGGATGAGCGTGTGAATCCACTCGCGGTGACACGCGGGGTCGGGATGAGGCTGTGAACCCACTCGCGGTGACACGCGGGGTCGGGATGAGCGTGTGAACCCACTCGCGGTGACACGCGGGGTCGGGATGAGCGTGTGAACCCACTCGCGGTGACACGCGGGGTCGGGATGAGGCTGTGAACCCACTCGCGGTGACACGCGGGGTCGGGATGAGGCTGTGAATCCACTCGCGGTGACACGCGGGGTCGGGATGAGGCTGTGAACCCACTCGCGGTGACACGCGGGGTCGGGATGAGGCTGTGAACCCACTCGCGGTGACATGTGGGGTCGGGATGAGGCTGTGAACCCACTCGCGGTGACACGCGGGGTCGGGATGAGCGTGTGAATCCACTCGCGGTGACACGCGGGGTCGGGATGAGGCTGTGAACCCACTCGCGGTGACACGCGGGGTCGGGATGAGCGTGTGAGTCCACTCGCGGTGACACGCGGGGTCGGGATGAGGCTGTGAATCCACTCGCGGTGACACGCGGGGTCGGGATGAGCGTGTGAGTCCACTCGCGGTGACACGCGGGGTCGGGATGAGGCTGTGAACCCACTCGTGGTGACACGCGGGGTTGGGATGAGCGTGTGAATCCACTCGCGGTGACACGCGGGGTCGGGATGAGGCTGTGAACCCACTCGCGGTGACACGCGGGGTCGGGATGAGGGTGTGAACCCACTCGCGGTGACACGCGGGGTCGGGATGAGGGTGTGAACCCACTCGCGGTGACATGCGGGGTCGGGATGAGGGTGTGAGCCCACTCGCGGTGACACGCGGGGTCGGGATGAGCGTGTGAATCCACTCGCGGTGACACGCAGGGTCGGGATGAGGCTGTGAACCCGCTTGCTGTGACACGCGGGGTCGGGATGAGCGTGTGAGTCCACTCGCGGTGACACGTGGGGTCGGGATGAGGGTGTGAGTCCCCTCGCGGTGACACGCGGGGTCGGGATGAGGCTGTGAACCCACTCGCGGTGACACGCGGGGTCGGGATGAGCGTGTGAATCCACTCGCGGTGACACGCGGGGTCGGGATGAGCGTGTGAACCCACTCGCGGTGACACGCGGGGTCGGGATGAGGCTGTGAACCCACTCGCGGTGACACGCGGGGTCGGGATGAGGCTGTGAATCCACTCGCGGTGACACGCGGGGTCGGGATGAGGCTGTGAACCCACTCGCGGTGACACGCGGGGTCGGGATGAGGCTGTGAACCCACTCGCGGTGACATGTGGGGTCGGGATGAGGCTGTGAACCCACTCGCGGTGACACGCGGGGTCGGGATGAGCGTGTGAATCCACTCGCGGTGACACGCGGGGTCGGGATGAGGCTGTGAACCCACTCGCGGTGACACGCGGGGTCGGGATGAGCGTGTGAGTCCACTCGCGGTGACACGCGGGGTCGGGATGAGGCTGTGAATCCACTCGCGGTGACACGCGGGGTCGGGATGAGCGTGTGAGTCCACTCGCGGTGACACGCGGGGTCGGGATGAGGCTGTGAACCCACTCGCGGTGACACGCGGGGTCGGGATGAGCGTGTGAGTCCACTCGCGGTGACACGCGGGGTCGGGATGAGGGTGTGAATCCACTCGCGGTGACACGCGGGGTCGGGATGAGGCTGTGAACCCACTCGTGGTGACACGCGGGGTTGGGATGAGCGTGTGAATCCACTCGCGGTGACACGCGGGGTCGGGATGAGGCTGTGAACCCACTCGCGGTGACACGCGGGGTCGGGATGAGGGTGTGAACCCACTCGCGGTGACACGCGGGGTCGGGATGAGGGTGTGAACCCACTCGCGGTGACATGCGGGGTCGGGATGAGGGTGTGAGCCCACTCGCGGTGACACGCGGGGTCGGGATGAGCGTGTGAATCCACTCGCGGTGACACGCAGGGTCGGGATGAGGCTGTGAACCCGCTTGCTGTGACACGCGGGGTCGGGATGAGCGTGTGAGTCCACTCGCGGTGACACGTGGGGTCGGGATGAGGGTGTGAGTCCCCTCGCGGTGACACGCGGGGTCGGGATGAGGCTGTGAACCCACTCGCGGTGACACGCGGGGTCGGGATGAGCGTGTGAATCCACTCGCGGTGACACGCGGGGTCGGGATGAGGGTGTGAGTCCACTCACGGTGACACGCGGGGTCGGGATGAGCGTGTGAGTCCACTCGCGGTGACACATGGGGTCGGGATGAGGGTGTGAGTCCACTCGCGGTGACACGCGGGGTCGGGATGAGGCTGTGAACCCACTCGCGGTGACACGCGGGGCCGGGATGAGCGTGTGAATCCACTCGCGGTGACACGCGGGGTCGGGATGAGCGTGTGAACCCACTCGCGGTGACACGCGGGGTCGGGATGAGTGTGTGAACCCACTCGCGGTGACACGCGGGGTCGGGATGAGCGTGTGAATCCACTCGCGGTTCTCATTCCCTAACTTGGGGTAACACGGTCTCCCTCTGTCACCCAGGCTGGAGTGCAGAGTGTAACCTCAGCTCACTGCAACCTCCGCATCCTAGGCTCAAGCTATCCTCCTGCCTTGGCCCCCCTAGTAGCTGGGACTACAGGCATGCACCACCATGCCCAGCTAGTTTCTGTATATTTTTGCAGAGATAGGGTTTTGCCATGTTGCCCAGGCTGGTCTTGAACTCCTCAGCTGAGGCAATCTGCCCGCCTCAGCCCCTCAAAGTGCTGGGATTACAGGTGTGAGCCACCACCACCCCCAACCCCCAGCTAAGCCTTTATTCTTCATTCATCCCATTTTTCTCCCTTCTTGAGACAGAGATAAGAAGCTCTTGTGTTTTCTAAGAGAAGCAAGTTGTATAAGAGGATTTTAAGATCACGAGGCGAGGGGCCTGTTTGTCATTTCTGTTCCAGCAGCTCTGACCATTGCTTAGATGCTCAGGCCTGAGCTGATGGCCATGATCAGTCACAGCATGCATCTGTCTGTGCAGAGGAAGGTCAGTGCCTGAGACAGAGAGGGATGGGGGGAGGGAGAGGAAGAATCTCTGCATCCTTGGATCAGCTTAAGCTGCTGCACTTGCTACAAAAGCATTAGAACTGCTATCATTTGCAGATTTACTGTCCCACCTTTTAAACCCATCCAGTGCTAGTTACCCACGATCACCCTTTGGGTATCTGAACACCAGCACCCAGCTGTCAGGCAGAACACATGGAGTAAACGAAGACACAATAGTTTAATTGTCATACACATAGTCATTTTAAAATACAACACCGTGAACAATTCTTTTGTCCATCTTTAACGTCCATGCCTTAATGCTGTCATTCCTTAGGGCCACGGCACTCCGGTGACAACGGGATGCGTCACAGGCAGCACACAGGAACACATCTCATTTCTACAAAGAGCTCTTTCTCTGCTCTCAGTAGTGATTTAGGAGTACAACAGAAGCCAAAATGCTTAACATAAAGAATAACAGACTCAAATATTCATAAATATTTCCTCCTTGTCCACTTCCAACATCTCACTTTTAGGGCATGGTAAAATATTTTGGCACACAGCAGACCTAAAAAGAAAAACAGACCAGAAAATGTTTAAATCAACAAAGGAAAACAGCTGTGGGTGGACTCCCTTAGTCCTGTAATATGTAGCCAACATGTCAGCATGTCAAGGTCATTTTTCCCTAGGCTGGCTTGGAATTATTCTCAGGTGTCCAAACGTTTCTCCATCGTGCGCTGGCTCAAGATGGATGCTTCCACCTGTGGAGAAATCGCTGGGAGCCAGGTCCTGCCGAGTGACAGGCAGGCAGACGGCACTGTCCCAGGGCACCAACTGGAGCGGGTGCAGCTGTGACCCAGGCTGCCCGCCGGCCGCCCACTGCCTCCACAGCAGAGCCACGGGTGGTGGCGGTGGGGGAACACACCTTTGCTGCCCCTCCTACTATGAGCTCTGGAAGGCGAACAGCTCCCAGCGTCGATGGATGCGCTAACTTGCGCCGTCCTGGCTGACTCTGAGCAGACCCCTGAAGCATACTGCAGACCCAGGGGCAGATGTGTTTTCAGAAACGTGGACATTTTCACAAATGCTCCTTGAATCATAAGCCGGATGGAAGATGTTGACGCCATCAGTAATCAGCTCCCACGAACCACACAAGGGCCCGGGAAACACCCCTGGGGATTCGCTAGAATGCAAACCCTACATCCCCAGACAGACTCGCTTGTTCAGGACCAAAGATCCAGATCTGAGAGACCAGCGTAGCATGGACTTATGGTGGCCACAGGTGAATTCATTTCTAACATAAACAGCATTTCTGCTTAATGCACTGAAGAGATCTTCTAAGAATCATAATGATTTTTATTTTTTGGTAAACTCATTCTTAATAAAAATGTACTAAATAAACTATTTCCATACTTCGGCATCAGTGCTCTTTTTGAAAGGGGTCATTATTTTTTTTCCATTGAAAGTGATCTCAGAGGAACATCTAATTTAATCCTGTCACTTTATAAAGTGCAAGAAGTTTCACAACCGGCTTGGGCAACATGATGAGACCTCGTCTCTACAAAAAATACAAAACAGCCGGGCATGGTGACATGCACCCTATAGTCCCAGCTACTTGAGAGGCTGAGGTGGCAGGATCACTTGAGCCCGGGAGGTTGAGGCTGTACTGAGCTGTGATTGTACCACTGCACCACAGCTTGGGTGACAGAGTGAGGCCCTGTCTCAAAAAATAAACAAACAAATAAATAAAATTAAAAAAAAAAATAAAGTGCAAGAAATCTCGATGTCAGTCCTCAGGGCTTCCCAACTGTAACTAACATGCTTCTAGCACAAGACCTGGAGCCATCAAACCCATGACCTGCAGAGCCTCTGATTTTACACTTTCTCCTCCATCCTGAACTTCAAGGAAACGGGAGCCCTCCTCTCTTGCCACCCTGGGATTCTTCCATAAAGGACACTGAGTGTGTACGTATTGGGTGAGGCACAGGCGGCATCATGACACAAAAACAAAATTGGAAAGTGGAACTCGTAAGACGCAATACCAGCACCTGCTGAGAAGCTTCTCCCGCAGACGCCAGGCAGGCTCTGGGAACAGAGTGGAGGCAGAAGACCCGCAGCCACCAGGAAAAACAACCTTTTCTAAAAAATATTATTTTCTAAATACAATGAAAACAACTGGCCAGTTTCCCGGGAAGTCGGTGTGGATCTGACACTGGGTCAGGCACCGACCTTGCGCCCTTCTCAGAACTGACCTCGGGGGTCTGGTGGCTGCGGTCTGAGAAGTGTTTTGTCTCTTTCCTCCAGGAGAGGGAAGGTCCCGCCCGCGGCCCCGCTGGCTGCCTTCAGTGCCTTTGCTTTAACTTAGGTCAGTTCACAAAACCTCAATAACCTGGGTCTCTAGGAAGCATTCTGGCATCTGAGGATATCAAGAGTACAGCTGCTTCTCTGAAGCAAAACTGCAAAGCAACCAAAAGAAAGGGTAGAGCCCACATTCCGGATTGTTCTAAGGACAGACTCTGCAACAGGTTAGCTAATCCACTAAGAGTCCAGCTTACTAAAGCTTAAACATGAAAAATATTTCAGAGACCATTTTATGTTAAATGTTTTTAAACTAACACCTCTTCCCAATATTTAGAGCAATAATAAAATACACATTACAGCCGAGTCCGTGAGCACCTTTGCACCCCACATTGCACATCCATTTCAGCCCAGGCACCTTTGGATTCTGTATCCTGCAGCTGGCCTTGGAGCTTCAAAGCCTTGGTATGTTTGATGAAGAAATCTAACTTTGAACAGAACTGTATTTGAAAAAAATACACAAAGAGTTTCACAACACCTCAGAAACAAAACACAATGGGACCCAAGAGTCTTGAGAATAAACTCCAGCAAAACAGATTTTCACTATTTATTTAATTACGAGGCTGAACATCTGGATCTCAGGTACGCTCATTGCTTTCGGGTCTGTTAGCAAGAGCTGGATCTCCCACTTAGACTGTTGTAAGAGGAGGAGGAACTAGGGCCTTAACCATTATTTCCTGGTGTGAAAGTATGTATTTTAAGATTTACAAAGTTAACATTTGTCTAATCCTGAGGTTGAAATAGTAATGACATCCAGGTAATAAGCCTATTCCATGGCTCCTCCCCTGGGTGCAGGGCCGGGCCTCCCAGCTTCCTCTCGGGATGAGCTCCTCTTCCCTTAACCGGGTCTCTGCACCAACCACACCCTCCTTTTCCACATTGCCCACATGTTTGTGTCTGCAAGAGTCTTTCTGTCAAGATTGAAATAAGCTCTTGCCTTCCCCAGCTCGAACAGTAACCCATCTCTCCTTTGACCCCACCTGCCCCTCCCAGACAAGGACGCATTTTTGGTGCTCATGGCCTTCTCTCCATCCCCCTTTGACTTTCCATCCCCTGTAACTGAGGCTCAGCCCCTCCTCCATTCCTCAGTCAAGGTCACCCGCCTTTCTCTAACCCAGTTACTCTTCTCAGTATTAAAACACAGATTCACCTCTCAGCACTGCTGGACACCCTAGGCCATCCTGCCAGAACCTGTTGGCACCACTGGACGCCCTTGGCCATCCCATCCAAACCTCTCAGCACTGCTGGACACCGTTGGTCGTCCTACCCGAACCTCTCGGCACCGCTGGACGCCCTTGGCCATCCCCCCAGAACCTCTCAGCACTGCTGGATGCCGTTGGCCATCCCACCAGAACCTCTTCCATTGATTTCCCTGATGCCTCTCGCTCCAGTTTCCTCTGTACCTCGGCCACTCTTTGCCCACTTTCCTCACTACTCTGCCCACCCTAAATGCTGGTATTCCTTGGAAATTTGTCCCAGGTTGTACTCTTCTCGCCCTAATATCCCATCCAAGACAGCCTCAGCCAGAATTACGGCTTCAGTTGACATCCAAATCTGGAAGAATCTTTCCCAAGCGGTTCCAGTGCAGGCTCTGTGGACTTTCTACAGAGCCCTCCCGCTGCCTGCTAGACTCAAGATCACAGGCACGCCCTGGGGACCTGGCCGGCCACGCTATGTTATCTCCTCCCCCTGCACCTGCAGCCCTTCACAGAGCCTCACTACCTGTTTCCAGCTGAAAGTGCAGAGTCCTTCCAAGGCTCAGGGGAAGCTAGGACAGCTTGGATCCCTCGCCCTCACAAGCCATGTCCAATTCATCTTCAGTGATCCTCCTCCCTCAGGGCCCACGTCCCTCCTGCCCTGGCTGCCCCTCGGTCAGGCCGTCCTTCACAGGCTCACAGTGGAGGCCTCCACATCCCGCCATTGTCCTCCCTCCAGACTGCTAAGCCATCTCCATGCTGCAGCCTGAGGGAGCTTCTGAAAATGCAACTCTGATCAAAAGACTTCCAGCTTTAAAAAATCCCAAGGGATTCTCACTGCCTTTAAAACTCCAAATTCCCCGCCATGGTTGACAGTAGCAGTGACCCATCTTAACTCCACCAGCCTCCTTTGTCTCCACACCCTAGCTCCTGGATGGCTCTCCAGCCCCGTGAGCATCCTACAGCTTCTGAGGAACATCTGTGTCTGATACCACATCCACTGCCAGGGCAGCCACGCCTGGCACATCTGGAGCATCACGGGCACCTGGCACTGCACCTGGAGAATAACGGGTGCCTGGCACCGCATGTGGAGAATAACGGGCGCCTGGCACCCCACCTGGAGAATAAAGGGCGCCTGACACCCCACCTGGAGAATAACGGGCGCCTGACACCCCACCTGGAGAATAAGGGGCGCCTGACACCCGACCTGGAGAATAACGGGTGCCTGACACCCCACCTGGAGAATAACGGGCGCCTGACACCCGACCTGGAGAATAACGGGCGCCTGACACCCGACCTGGAGAATAACGGGCGCCTGACACCCCACCTGGAGAATAACGGGCGCCTGACACCCCACCTGGAGAATAACGGGCGCCTGACACCCCACCTGGAGAATAATGGGCGCCTGGCACCCCAACTGGAGAATAACGGGCGCCTGGTACCCCACCTGGAGAATAACGGGCGCGTGACACCCCACCTGGAGAATAACGGGCCCCTGGCACCCCACCTGGAGAATAACGGGCGCTTGGCACCCCACCTGGAGAATAATGGGCACCGAGCACCCTACCTGGAGAGTAACCGGCACCTGGCACTGCTCCTGGAGAATAATGGGCGCCTGACACCCCACCTAGAGAATAACGAGCGCCTGGCACCGCACCTGGAGAATAACAGGCACCGAGCACCCCACCTGGAGAATAACGGGCGCCTGGCACCCCACCTGGAGAATAACGGGCGCCTGACACCCCACCTGGAGAATAACGGGCGCCTGACACCCCACCTGGAGAATAACGGGCGCCTGACACCCGACCTGGAGAATAACGGGCGCCTGACACCCCACCTGGAGAATAACGGGCGCCTGACACCCCACCTGGAGAATAACGGGCGCCTGACACCCCACCTGGAGAATAACGGGCGCCTGGCACCCCAGCTGGAGAATAACGGGCGCCTGGTACCCCACCTGGAGAATAACGGGCGCCTGACACCCCACCTGGAGAATAACGGGCCCCTGGCACCCCACCTGGAGAATAACGGGCGCTTGGCACCCCACCTGGAGAATAATGGGCACCGAGCACCCTACCTGGGGAGTAACCGGCACCTGGCACCAAACCTGGAGAATAATGGGCGCCTGACACCCCAACTGGAGAATAACGAGCGCCTGGCACCGCACCTGGAGAATAACAGGCACCGAGCACCCCACCTGGAGAATAACGGGCACCAAGCACCCCACCTGGAGAATAACGGGCACCTGGTACCACACCTGGAGAATGGGTGCCTGGCACCCCATCTGGAGAATAATGGGCACCCGGCACCTCACCTGCAGCACCACGGGCGTGTAACTAATATGTGCTGGATTAACGCATAATTCACAAATATGCTAACTTTGTTATAATCCTGTTTCATAACAAGTTGTTATATAACTGTGAAATATAATGAACTTCTTCCATTTCCCATCTTGTGTTTATACCTTTTCTGTAAAACAATTTACGTAAAAAAAAACCCTTCCCTAAATACTAGAAATAAAGAGGCACAGCCATTATGGGCACATATTTCACCTGCCACAAACAGTGTGGTAATTACTTCTAACTTTTCAAATGTGATTCTTATTTGGTTAACTTTTAAGCGTACAATGTAAATGATATTTAAAAATTTATAGAACAGGCATATCTTAAAAAGATACATATTCCCAATGTTTAGCGATAACCTTTAGAACTTCAAAGATCAGAAGAAATTAGAATAAATGTGTTGGGGGTCAGTTAGAATATCATATAAGTCGTTAATCTCATGGGTATTTTCATAAATATTTTACCTAAAGCATAGAATACGTAGCACTGATAACACTCAATGCTGTTTTGCATGAGTAAGAAACCTGAGCCATGTGCAGTATTCCATATGTTTAATTTCAGTTTTCAATATTTTCAATTCAAAATGACAAAATCAATGTCTACAGAGTAATATAACTTCTTGTCATCTATTATTGTGAATTTTGTCAGTTTCCAGATGTGGACATTAATGCAGTGACAAATTAAGAAAATGTTCTCAATATAAGACAACCTGCAAAGAAAAGGAAAAAGATAATTAGAAAAACTGGCAGCCCAGCCAGCAGTTTAGATCACAGCAGGAGCAGGTCGGAGCAGGCACGTGCAGCCGGGGCCCAGTGCAAGGCATTCCAGGGTGCAGCCAAGGCGGCGGGCGTCCTCGTCCACAAAGCCAGACAGTACAACACCAACCGTGAAGTGGAGCTTCCATGTGAACGGCAATCTGAAGTCACAGTGGTTTGTCAAAGGAGACGTGAAGAGCAAAGCGTTGGGGTCATGGGGCAAGCGCGCCATCTCAGAGGGTCTGGTGCAGAGAAGCTTCGGAAGACGGCAAACGTCTCCACCAACGAGACAGCACGATCGTGAGGCACGTCCTGGATGAGGTGACAACGATTCCATTTTCACAGCCATGGGCACCAACGCCACTCGCAGCATGTTCGAGGACGCCAGACTGGCAGCTGAGCTCCGTTTCTGCCAGGGCTCCTGGAAGCCGGGACGAAGTGCATGGTGGTGCTGGAGGCGGCCTGGACGGGCCGGAGCCTTCTGCCGGGAATCCCTGGTGCAGCTTCAGGGCACCGTCTCAGCCCTGCTGCTGGAGCCCAGATGTGCGTCCCAGGTGCTCCCTGCTCCCTAGAAACTCTACGGAACTTTCCCTGCAGCGTGCTCTGTCCCTGTCCCTCACTTTGTATATTGTCTTTTCTCAGTACACACAGAAGCCAGGGCACCATGCTCACAGCTGGAAACTCCCAAGGCTGACAGGCCTCAGAGCCATTGCGACCGTGTCTCTCAGAACCCCCGTTAGGCTGGTCCCTCCCTGCCTCCCCTGTCATTTGTTCCTTTTGCTTCTTTCAAATAACCTAAAATTTATAAAGTAGCACTTTATCAGAGCCAGGCATGGCTCTAGGGGAGGGTGGGCAAGTACAGAGAAGACCAAATGTGGAAGGTTCTCCAGGCATCGCTCATCCTCACCGAGCGGCAGAATTCCACACAGCTGCTCTCCGCCATATCGATCACTTAAAACCAAAAAAGACATTTGACTTAACTATTCTGGTAACTCTTTGTGCTTCTTTTAGTGTATTTATTTACATTATAATTACTTTGTAGTCATATCTTTTCCAACCAGAAAATGGGCTTCTCTGGAAAGAATCCTATTTTATTAATCTTTGTCATCCCAATGCCGGGCTCAGTTAAGTTTATGGGAAGACGTGCTGGACAGAGACCAAGAGAACAGCCTTGAAAACAATCTTCAGACACGTCATGAAGTTTGGATTCAGGATCGGGGATCCAGGTCGGGGGAGTGTGAAAGAGGGCGGCACCGTGTTTGCTTGTTTGGAAGTTGCTCAGGCTATGATTTAAGAATGTTCTAGGGCAACCCAAACAATGCAACTAATTAAGACACACACACGTGCGCACACACACACGCACACACACATGCACACGCACATGCACGCACACACATACACGCACACACATACACGCGCACACACACATGCACACACATGCACATGCACGCATATGCACACACACAGGAGAGGGGGGAGCAGAGACACAGAGAGAGAGAGAACGGCTACTCTTGTGGAAAAAGGCAGCCGCTCCCGAAAGGGAGAGACCCACACCAACACCTCTGTCCGTCATTCCAGACTCTGCCACGCCAAGGTTCTATCCCAGCTTCCCCTTATTACAAGGATCAAGGGCTGCAGTTGGGAAATGGAGTCACATCTCGGTTCTTCAAAATGAGCTTGAGACGCCGCTGGCCTAAGCCCCTCACGCGTGTCCCACAGGAGGCTCCATAAGAAGGTCCGTTTCACCCAGAGGACCCTACGTGACCGTGACCCAGCCCTGCTGAAGCGCCTGTGAGTTCTTCACGAGCAGAGAGAACAAACCCACCGCACTCCTCCTCTGTTGCCTCCTTTTAGTTTTAGTTCTGTCTCCAGTCATACAACAGAGCATGAGGGAGTAAAGCTCTTCAAAGGAAGCAAGGAGGCACCCCCACCACAGAGGGCACAGCGGGGGAAGAGCCGCCCCCAAGCTGCTGTGCCAGGCAGAGGTGCAGGCACTACCTTGGCATGGGTGGTGGTTGGAGCGTCTCCTTCGGCACGGGACTGTCCACCCCCAGGGAGGGTGGGTGGCGGCTGGGGTGTCTGCCTCGGCACGGGACTGTCCACCCCCAGGGAGGGTGGGTGGCGGCTGGGGTGTCTGCCTCGGCACGGGACTGTCCACCCCCAGGGAGGGTGGGTGGTGGCTGGGGTGTCTGCCTCGGCACGGGACTGTCCACCCCCAGGGAGGGTGGGTGGTGGCTGGGGTGTCTGCCTCGGCACGGGGCTGTCCACTTCCAGGGAGGGTGGGTGGTGTTTGGAGTGTCTACCTCGGCACGGAACTGTCCACCCCCAGGGAGGGTGGGTGGTGGATGGAGCATCTACCTTGGCATGGGACTGTCCACTCCTCCACTGGGGATTCACTTACAGCCCAAGCCGGAGGCCTCGTCCTGCAGGAAGAGGTCTGAAACACCCCACACCGCACATGGCACCTGGACAGAGGCATGAGGAAGACAGGGGCCCTGAGACACAAGAGGTGGAGGCTGAGAAAAAGGGGAAGGTGCAAACCCACAGCCACCCACACTTAGAAAGCAGCAGCCGGGATTTTGCAGAGCATCGGAAGCAAACTACACACACACACACACACACACACACACACACACACACACACATATATAAAGTTTGAGCACTTGCAGACGGAAAGACCAAGCATTATTTGAAAATATCAACACAGACAGACATTGAAACGGGAATGCCCCATCTCGCTGCAGAATGAGGTGGGGCAAGACCTCACAGGTGCACTCTAAGGAAAGCAGGGCTGGGCTGCGATGGGGAAAAGGTGCTGGTAAGAAACAAGAGCCGCTAATGATATTTGAGCCACACGTGGGGAACAATGATCACCAGGTCCTGAGCAGGAACAAACGGGGCCTGCCGACACTGTTGCGCTGAAACACACGCACACTGAGGTTCACACACACAAAGGTCATTCTCATTCTCAGTAACTCGCTTGTTGCTGGACCTCAAACAGGACTCCAGCCAGGTGCTGCGGTGTGCAACTACAGTGCCCGCTACAGGGGAGGCTCAGGTCATGGGATGCTGCTTGAACCCAGGAGTTAGAATCTGGCCTGGGAACATCATAAGACCTCATCAATCCATCAACGAACACCCCCTCTACATATTGCTACAGAGAGAGGAGCGAAGACAGCTGAACTGATCCAGCTTCAGTCACAGATGTAGAGCCCAGCGAACAGACCTACGTGATAGCTCCACTTCTGAACTGCTATATCTCAGGCACGCTGAGAACAACCTGACCAGATACTCTTTGAGTCCCTTGGCCCTGGGCATCTGAACAAAAGAAAATATTTCTATTAGCGACAGTGTGTCCTTTGAAAATTTGAAAATCGGCATCACGCCAATGCCTGGGGAGAAAAGGTCACCATCTTGACCATGGTGCCAGCATCACACACGGCATGTGGCTGGATGTCTGCAGATCGCAATGCTCCTTCCCTCTGTACAAAGATACATGCGAGTTTAATGTTCTTCATATGTTCCCTGTGAGGACATTCACATGACAGCCTCTAAGATTCAGATCAAGATTGTTTAAATCCACCAGTGTTTCTAAAGCTGCCAATTTCAGTGCAAAGACAACACTCTGAATACCCTGAATACCAACAAGGAAGGAGTGTCTACCTCGGCACGGAACCATCCACTCCCGGGGGGGATGGGTGGCGGCTGGAGTGTCTACCTCGGCATGGGACTGTCCACTCCCAGGGAGGGTGGATTGTGGTTGGAGCATCTACCTCGGCACGGTACTGTCCACCCCCAGGGAGGGTGGGTGCTGTTTGGAGCGTCTACCTCGGCACGGGACCGTCCACTCCCAGGGAGGGTGGGTGCTGTTTGGAGCATCTACCTAAGCACGGGAGTGTCCACTCCCAGGGAGGATGGGTGGCGGCTGGAGTGTCTACCTCGGCACGTGACCGTCCACTCCCAGGGAGGATGGGTGGCGGCTGGAGTGTCTACCTCGGCATGGGACCGTCCAATCCCAGGGAGGATGGATGGCGGCTGGAGTGTCTACCTTGGCACGGGACCGTCCACTCCCAGGGAGGGTGGGTGCTGTTTGGAGCGTCTACCTTGGCACGGGACTGTCCACTCCCAGGGAGGGTGGGTGGTGTTTAGAGTGTCTACCTCGGCACGGGACCGTCCACTCCCAGGGAGGGTGGGTGCTGTTTGGAGCATCTACCTCGGCACGGGAGTGTCCACTCCCAGGGAGGATGGGTGGCGGCTGGAGTGTCTACCTCGGCATGGGACTGTCCACTCCCAGGGAGGGTGGGTGGTGTTTGGAGTGTCTACCTCAGCACAGGACTGTCCACCCCCAGGGAGGATGGGTGTGTGGCTCGGACATGGCCCTCAGACGGGCATTGGGTGCTGTCTGGGCTTCTCTGCACCTGTTCGCTGGTGACAACCAACATGCTCTTTGCAGGACTTTGTACAACTCACCCCTTTGCAAGGCCAGTGGCTTTGTCCATGATGCTTTCGCACATGCAACTTGGCCATGATGGTCTCAGGCCCTTTCCTAATACTGGCGCTAACATCAAGAGAGAAGATGCTCCCAGGAAGTGGGGGGTGGAGATGGTCGTGGAACAAACAAGAGGAGAAGCCCAGGGAGAGGAACACGTCACAGGCAGAACCCGACGGTGCCTGCCTCCTCCCACCACTGACAGTGGTGTGCACATTCCAACCCCACAGCATCTGGGTTGGGGTGTCCCACAGGGAGATGGGCAGAAGATGTGGTGGGAGGAGACACTGGGTCCCCCACCTTTCCCAGGGAAGTACTCACCTGTAAAATTATGTGAGCTGAAGTCTCATGGAGTCTTTAGCTGAGTTCTTATTAACTTAGTGAATTATCTGTGGTCTCTGACCTCTTATATCAATAGTTTTTCCAGGACTCTGACTGCCTGAGATCAAGACAGCCAAGACAGGTGTCTGCCTGCCCACAAACTGTTGATCTATAATTAGGGGAAATCACTCCCATAATTGGTCCAAAAATGCTAGCTGAGCTCAACATGGCTAATCTGCCCCTGCCAATAATGGAATGCCTTTGCTCGAGTCAAACAAGAGAAATGCCACACGCCACCCTCATGGTTTCTGCTCTCACCTTAGAGCATTTTCATCCTCAGGGAATGAAATGGGTCATTTCAATTGTTCTCTCTGAGCACTTTCCAAAATATATCGTATTTTAGGGCTGGCAGCTTATAATCTGTACACCTGGAAAAATCAGCAAATCTATGCGTTCCATCCTTCTTATGTTTCTGATGTCAAGGGTAACAATATCTTCTTAAGATATTTAAGCTATATCACTTTTACTAGAGCTATTTACTCCCAAGAATATACTCAAATTGATATTAATTATCTGTAGGCACAAGTGACCATCATAGGAACAAAACTGTGGGCTAATCCAGTACCATGAGTCTGCATCCCAGGTGTGACACGTGCATGGTAATCTTTGGAATGACTATTCCTTTTAGTTTATCTATAAAAGGTGCATAACACTTTGTCCTACTGCAGTGGGATATTGATTAATTGCTTTGCCTGCTCTTAAGACCTAGATGAGCATTTGTATGAATGGGGGATGAGGCAGGGATGGTCCCAGCTGTGCTGAGCTGGCCAGAGTCACTCTTGTAGGAATCCCAAGACTGTTCAGTCTCTGGAGCCGTAAAGCCTGGGTCCCAAACCCGTGGCTGGAGCCCCAGCTCTCCCCTCTGTGCCCTGGGTTCTGTGCGTATTCTCCTGACACACAGATGGCTACTCTTTAATGTTTACCAAAGACAGTCTGAGTGGGTGTTGGTTCCCCTTACTCAGTGAGTCCTAAGATCAGGGTGCTCACAGGTCCCAGTGTGCTCACCACCATCGCTGTTAATGACTGTTCTCCTGACAATGCTGTCAATGCGTTCACTCTCACTCTCAGACATGCCCTGATGTGCTCAACACATTGTGTGAGCACCATCTCTGAGACCTCAATCCCTTCTTCAATTCAGTACAAAATCAGGTGCGATAATACATGTAAAAGATTTCTGAAGACTGCTAAGCTATAATGCCTCAGCCCTTACTACATGGAGTAAGAAACAGAGGGCTTGGATTAGAGATAGGAATCAACCAGAACCATTGAATAAAATAATCTGTCCTTAAGCCAGTCAGGGGCTTCATGACAGCCTGGAATACAAACGTTCTCTCAGGTTAGCAATTAACGGTCACTTTCTAATACGCTTCAGGGTTTCATACCCAAATTGGTCCCTCTGGAGCTGAAAACTTTTTAAAGCAGGATGGCTTCCTTGTAGAAACAAATAAGTAAATTTTACTTGTAAGGCAATCAATAAAAGTCAGGCCACTGTATGGATACTTGAATAATTGTATGATTTATTTTATACTTGATATATTTGCTTTATAAAAATTATTTAATGGCCATCAAATTTTAATGCATGTATCTACTTATTTGTTGACAGTTAAAATGTTAAGCAACTTAACTTCTTTGACAAATAAAATACTGAACCAAAGTTCACAAAGTGATTTTATCGTGCTGCTGGGGAAACAACTTTTGTCCCTCCCCACGCCCTGCATTCACACACACACAGGCCATCCCGGAAGGGAACGCTACCACTGCTGCCTGACTTTGTCCCTGCAAGAAACCAGTGGCTCTGCCTCAAGCTCAAGACTTCCCTCGGTTTATTTTACCTGAATCCCCCAGTCTGACATAGGTGCTAGGTCGGCGGGAGGGCAGAAGTGGGTACACCTCAGGGTGAAAGAATCAGAGTCTGATAGAGACATGAATTCTAGACATATCTTTATATGTATAATCACACCAAAGCAAACCCTGAAAAATATTCAAGCTCCAATGAATAAGCCACAGTCCCCACAGAGATCACGAAATTCCAGCATGAATAACTCACCTTCAAACCTAGAAGTGGTTTCCACCACCAGATGACGACAGACGGTGAAGTCGCTCTGCCCCTCTCTTTAGAGGGAAATGTGCTCCAGAAGCAGATGTGGAATTCTTTCTATGTGCGATTCTCGGTGAAAATCTTTCCAGAAGCAGATGTGAAATTATTTCTATGTGCGATTCTCGGTGAAAATCTTGCTTTGTGAGTTGCCACGGGGTGGTGATATTATGCAGCAGAGATTCTCTGGTCCTGGTACTTCCCAGCTGGGTTCAATTATCCCGAGATGAAAAACCACCACAGAGAGAGGCTTCTGAGCTCCCAACAGTAAGAGGTGCAGAGCTGCGTGCCAGCCACCTGTGTGCATGTGGGAAAGCCAGCATGGGAACCGGCACAGTGCCCAAGTGTGAAAGCTGTTCACACTCACTCTAGAACAACGTCTGCATGATTTTAAAGCACATGCCGTGATAATGCTGGCGTGGCTGGCGTGGCTGGCATGGTGCATGACCAGAGATACAGCTTCCAGATGAGCCAAAGGGCATTTTTAATGGGACTGACCTTCTCAGTCGCTGCCTCCTATGGCCCCACGGTGTCAGACGAGTGGACAAGCGCCCGTCTCACTGTCTGCTGACCGTGCTGTCCATGTAAACCCACATGGTGAAGGCTGTTCTAATGCTCTTGAGCAACTGCCGTTTCAGCCACACCAGCTTGTCATTGCACAAACTGGATTTGAGCGACTGGAAATCGATTCATGCAAATTAAGGTGCCAAACAGTTTTTTAACAGACAAGAAGATAAAATCTCAAATAGCAAAGACTTTTTAGTTAAAGTGACTGCTGAAATGTGTTTCCTTTGAATTAACAAAATATTTCCAGTTGATAAGGAATATGACCTAAAATAGTCAATTAAATGTAAAAAGTATGAACTTTGTTTAAATATCACAGATTACTTAATGTAGGAGACCTCAACGTAATTATGAGGACAGATAAACTTTAATTTCTGCCAAGAGCAATGTGTGCTTAAAGCCCAGCACAGGCAGAGCCAGGAGGACAGAGTCACTGCTGCCTCCAGGCCTTCAGCCACTGGGACTGCTGGTCAACTTCAGCAGGGCAGGCCTGGCTGAGCCTGGCAGTGACTGCCATTCATAGGGCAGCCAAGAGCTAGGGCACTCACTAATAAGACAATAAACCAGGTTTGCTTGCAGGAGGACTTCCCAACCTAATGCGAAATAGAATCCCAGTAAAACATGCTGTGGTCAAATCAATTGAGTTTCTTCACAGCTCAGTTTAGTCACACACTGAACATCAGCCGGAATCAATGTTCAAAGAAGGAAGTCCTATGGTGTCAGAGTCTGGGATAACGCATCTGATTGAGCAGGGACAAGCTGAGGACGGAGGGCCTATAGGGGCAGGGATCATGTGAGAGTCTAGGATAATGCATCTGACTGAGCAGGGCCAAGCATGAGGATGGAGGGCCTGTAGGGGCAGGGGTCATGTGAGAGTCTTGGTCAATGCAGCTGACTGAGCAGGGCCAAGCTGAGGACGGAGGGCCTGTAGGGGCAGGGGTCAGTGAGCGCTTTCCACAAAGGGATGGGGTGGGAATAGTTCAGGTTGTGGGGTACACTTGTTCTCTGCCACAACTAGGAAAGTGGCCCCAAGCACTACAAAGCCATAGGTGTGGCTGTGTCCAATCAAACTTTCTCTGCAAACTCAGTGGCAGGATGCAGGCCACAGTTTGCCTGCCCTGAACTAAAGCAGCTGGAGGCCTGGGACAGGGATGAACCCAGTAGCGTGGAGAGGAGTGAGGTGGCCACTTGCACTCAGACGAGTCTACCCGCCCACGGCAGGCCCCTTGCAGGCTCAGTCAGTCCCCGTCCTGCTTCTACAGCCCTGGGTATGGAAACCCCACAGGAAACACAAGCCAAAAGGCTCCTGGTCACACACAGTGGAGGTGTCATCTGTCCCGGTCACACACACAGTGGAGGCGCCGTCTGTCCTGGTCACACACAGTGGAGGCGTCGTCTGTCCTGGTCACACACACAGTGGAGGCATCGTCTGTCCTGGTCACACACAGTGGAGGCGTCTGTCCTGGTCACACACACAGTGGAGGCGCCGTCTGTCCTGGTCACACACACAGTGGAGGCACCGTCTGTCCTGGTCATACACACAGTGGAGGCGCCGTCTGTCCTGGTCACACACACAGTGGAGGCATCGTCTGTCCTGGTCACACACAGTGGAGGCGTCGTCTGTCCTGGTCACACACACAGTGGAGGCGCCGTCTGTCCTGGTCACACACACAGTGGAGGCATCGTCTGTCCTGGTCACACACAGTGGAGGCGTCGTCTGTCCTGGTCACACACAGTGGAGGCATCGTCTGTCCTGGTCACACACACAGTGGAGGCGTCGTCTGTCCTGGTCACACACACAGTGGAGGCGCCGTCTGTCCCGGTCACACACACAGTGGAGGCGTCGTCTGTCCTGGTCACACACACAGTGGAGGCGCCGTCTGTCCTGGTCACACACACAGTGGAGGCGTCGTCTGTCCTGGTCACACACAGTGGAGGCGCCGTCTGTCCTGGTCACACACACAGTGGAGGCGCCGTCTGTCCTGGTCACACACACAGTGGAGGCATCGTCTGTCCTGGTCACACACAGTGGAGGCATCGTCTGTCCTGGTCACACACACAGTGGAGGCGCCGTCTGTCCTGGTCACACACACAGTGGAGGCATCGTCTGTCCTGGTCACACACAGTGGAGGCGTCGTCTGTCCTGGTCACACACACAGTGGAGGCGCCGTCTGTCCTGGTCACACACACAGTGGAGGCATCGTCTGTCCTGGTCACACACAGTGGAGGCGTCGTCTGTCCTGGTCACACACAGTGGAGGCATCGTCTGTCCTGGTCACACACACAGTGGAGGCGTCGTCTGTCCTGGTCACACACACAGTGGAGGCGCCGTCTGTCCTGGTCACACACACAGTGGAGGCATCGTCTGTCCTGGTCACACACAGTGGAGGCGTCGTCTGTCCTGGTCACACACACAGTGGAGGCGCCGTCTGTCCTGGTCTCACACAGTGGAGGCATCGTCTGTCCTGGTCACACACACAGTGGAGGCGCCGTCTGTCCTGGTCACACACACAGTGGAGGCATCGTCTGTCCTGGTCACACACAGTGGAGGCGTCGTCTGTCCTGGTCACACACAGTGGAGGCATCGTCTGTCCTGGTCACACACACAGTGGAGGCGTCGTCTGTCCTGGTCACACACACAGTGGAGGCGCCGTCTGTCCCGGTCACACACACAGTGGAGGCGTCGTCTGTCCTGGTCACACACACAGTGGAGGCGCCGTCTGTCCTGGTCACACACAGTGGAGGCATCGTCTGTCCTGGTCACACACACAGTGGAGGCGCCGTCTGTCCTGGTCACACACACAGTGGAGGCATCGTCTGTCCTGGTCATACACACAGTGGAGGCACCGTCTGTCCTGGTCACACACACAGTGGAGGCATCGTCTGTCCTGGTCACACACAGTGGAGGCGTCGTCTGTCCTGGTCACACACAGTGGAGGCATCGTCTGTCCTGGTCACACACACAGTGGAGGCGCCGTCTGTCCTGGTCACACACACAGTGGAGGCATCGTCTGTCCTGGTCACACACAGTGGAGGCATCGTCTGTCCTGGTCATACACACAGTGGAGGCATCGTCTGTCCTGGTCACACACACAGTGGAGGCATCGTCTGTCCTGGTCACACACAGTGGAGGCATCGTCTGTCCTGGTCACACACACAGTGGAGGCATCGTCTGTCCTGGTCACACACACAGTGGAGGCATCGTCTGTCCTGGTCACACACACAGTGGAGGCATCGTCTGTCCTGGTCACACACAGTGGAGGCGTCGTCTGTCCTGGTCACACACAGTGGAGGCATCGTCTGTCCTGGTCACACACAGTGGAGGCGTCGTCTGTCCTGGTCACACACAGTGGAGGCATCGTCTGTCCTGGTCACACACACAGTGGAGGCGCCGTCTGTCCTGGTCACACACAGTGGAGGCGTCGTCTGTCCTGGTCACACACACAGTGGAGGCATCGTCTGTCCTGGTCACACACAGTGGAGGCGTCGTCTGTCCTGGTCACACACAGTGGAGGCATCGTCTGTCCTGGTCACACACACAGTGGAGGCGCCGTCTGTCCTGGTCACACACAGTGGAGGCGTCGTCTGTCCTGGTCACACACACAGTGGAGGCATCGTCTGTCCTGGTCACACACAGTGGAGGCGTCGTCTGTCCTGGTCATACACACAGTGGAGGCGCCGTCTGTCCTGGTCACACACACAGTGGAGGCGTCGTCTGTCCTGGTCATACACACAGTGGAGGCACCGTCTGTCCTGGTCACACACACAGTGGAGGCGTCGTCTGTCCTGGTCACACACACAGTGGAGGCGTCGTCTGTCCTGGTCACACACACAGTGGAGGCATCGTCTGTCCTGGTCTCACACAGTGGAGGCGTCTGTCCTGGTCACACACACAGTGGAGGCACCGTCTGTCCTGGTCACACACACAGTGGAGGCGCCGTCTGTCCTGGTCACACACACAGTGGAGGCGTCGTCTGTCCTGGTCACACACAGTGGAGGCGTCTGTCCTGGTCACACACACAGTGGAGGCGCCGTCTGTCCTGGTCTCACACAGTGGAGGCGCCGTCTGTCCTGGTCATACACACAGTGGAGGCATCGTCTGTCCTGGTCTCACACAGTGGAGGCGTCTGTCCTGGTCACACACACAGTGGAGGCGTCGTCTGTCCTGGTCACACACACAGTGGAGGCGTCGTCTGTCCTGGTCATACACACAGTGGAGGCATCGTCTGTCCTGGTCTCACACAGTGGAGGCACCGTCTGTCCTGGTCACACACGCAGTGGAGGCGCCGTCTGTCCTGGTCACACACACAGTGGAGGCACCGTCTGTCCTGGTCACACACACAGTGGAGGCATCGTCTGTCCTGGTCACACACAGTGGAGGCGTCGTCTGTCCTGGTCACACACAGTGGAGGCGTCGTCTGTCCTGGTCATACACACAATGGAGGCATCGTCTGTCCTGGTCTCACACAGTGGAGGCGTCTGTCCTGGTCACACACACAGTGGAGGCACCGTCTGTCCTGGTCACACACACAGTGGAGGCGTCGTCTGTCCTGGTCATACACACAATGGAGGCATCGTCTGTCCTGGTCTCACACAGTGGAGGCGTCTGTCCTGGTCACACACACAGTGGAGGCACCGTCTGTCCTGGTCACACACACAGTGGAGGCGTCGTCTGTCCTGGTCATACACACAGTGGAGGCATCGTCTGTCCTGGTCTCACACAGTGGAGGCACCGTCTGTCCTGGTCACACACGCAGTGGAGGCGCCGTCTGTCCTGGTCACACACACAGTGGAGGCACCGTCTGTCCTGGTCACACACACAGTGGAGGCGTCGTCTGTCCTGGTCATACACACAATGGAGGCATCGTCTGTCCTGGTCTCACGCAGTGGAGGCATCGTCTGTCCTGGTCACACACACAGTGGAGGCGCCGTCTGTCCTGGTCACACACAGTGGAGGCGCCGTCTGTCCTGGTCATACACACAGTGGAGGCATCGTCTGTCCTGGTCTCACACAGTGGAGGCGTCTGTCCTGGTCACACACACAGTGGAGGCGTCGTCTGTCCTGGTCACACACACAGTGGAGGCGTCGTCTGTCCTGGTCATACACACAGTGGAGGCATCGTCTGTCCTGGTCTCACACAGTGGAGGCACCGTCTGTCCTGGTCACACACGCAGTGGAGGCGCCGTCTGTCCTGGTCACACACACAGTGGAGGCACCGTCTGTCCTGGTCACACACACAGTGGAGGCGTCGTCTGTCCTGGTCATACACACAATGGAGGCATCGTCTGTCCTGGTCTCACACAGTGGAGGCGTCTGTCCTGGTCACACACACAGTGGAGGCACCGTCTGTCCTGGTCACACACACAGTGGAGGCGCCGTCTGTCCGTTTGCTGGGCCAGGTCACACTAGTGCTGTCTGGAGACCTCTGCGGCAACATCATCACCCACCCCCATCACGCCCCCACAGAGACCCTGTGATGCTGCCCGTCCTGGGAAAGGCTGGCTCATCTGCCTCCTATTCCGATTCCTGCTGGTCCAGCAGCACCTCCCATCTTTCTCCCTAGAGAGTCAGGACACCGGCTCTACAAACAAGCGTGAGGCTCTCCCCTCTCCTCTTGTCCTTTAATCTGTGCCTGTGGCTTTTCCTTATCAACCTACGAGATGCTCAAAGCTCTACTGTATCCTGCACAGGGCAGTACATGGTGGGCACTTAGTTCACAAATGCTTAACTTTTCACACCAATAACGTAGTTCAAATGCTGAAAGTCTATACACATAGCCCTTGACTATTGATACGTATGAAAGGAATTAGCAGCACAGGCCTTTCAGTAACTAGATCAAAAACTGGAACAGGGAAAAGACATAATAATGGACCACAAAGAACATAGGTGCCCAGGGGCCGGAGGGCTGGAAGCATGGAGACCCCAGCATCTGTGAGCTGCAGGAAGAAGGGAAACACCTTCCTAGTCCACAGTCTCAACTTCCTCATCTGCAAAACTGAAGCCACACTGGCAGGGACCCCCTCTGTTTGCAGAGAGGTTAAACAGGAACACACAGATGCAATCGCCAGGCACACGACACATACTCATGGGACAGTGGTCTCAGCAGAACCTGGCGTGCTTATCGTGATGGGTGGAGGCGGGGGAACACTGGAAAGTAGGGGGCTGGTCAGAGGGTGTCCACACTGCCGCTGAAGTGGGGGGCTGGTCGGAGGGTGTCCACACTGCCGCTGAAGTGGGGGGGCCGGTCGGACGGTGTCCACACTGCCGCTGAAGTAGGGGGGACTGGTCGGACGGTGTCCACACTGCCGCTGAAGTGGGGGGCTGGTCGGACGGTGTCCACACTGCCGCTGAAGTCGGGGGGGCCGGTCAGACGGTGTCCACACTGCCGCTGAAGTGGGGGGCTGGTTGGACGGTGTCTACACTGCCGCTGAAGTGGGGGGGCTGGTCGGACGTTGTCCACACTGCCGCTGAAGTGGGGGGCTGGTCAGACGGTGTCCACACTGCCGCTGGAAGTTCCCGCAGAGGCAGCCACACAGAGACTACTGGAGATCCTCGCTCGCGCAGCAGCCTGTGGGTCCAAGAAGCATTTGCCGCGGGCGCTTTCTATCACAGTACAGTATCTGTGTGGCAGACGGGCTTCCGAGAGTGCGTTCTTCGTCTTCTATTTTAACTGTAATCCGTGCAACAGACAGGACTACAGGAAGAGCGAAGGGATGGGGATTTAAGCCTGTCAAAGATGGAAGTCAGCAGGGGTGTCAGACATGTCAGGCCTGAGTGAGGACGAAAATTAAAAGGCAGAACTTCAAGGAGAAAATCACACAGCCTAGCAAGGGGATACCGCTGCACCTGGCTGAGTCTGCAAGTGGGGAACAGAGTCTGGTCTTCCTGCGACACGGGCCATGCATGTGAAGGACCTGGCATGTGTTTGCAGGGCCTATAAAACATCTTCTGTGAAAGCCATGCCCCTGGACTTGAGCCACTCAGGCAACCAGCCTGAATTTAGAGTGAGCCGAGACATCCGTCTACACGCCCAGGTGGAGCAGAGGGCAAGAGAGCATCCTCGGTAAAACACAAAGCCCTGGGAAAACGTCCATCCACAACTCCTGGTTCCACATCTGTGCCTCAGACTGACACCCTCGCCCAGGGCCCACTGTGCAGACTGAGGACTCTCATTCCAGGGCCCACTGTGTAGACTGAGACCCCTCATTCCAGGGCCCACTGTGCAGACTGAGGACCCTCGTCCAGGGCTCACTGTGTAGACTGAGACTCCTCATTCCAGGGCTCACTCTATAGACTGAGACTCCTCATTCCAGGGCTCACTGTGCAGACTGAGACCCCTCATTCCAGGGCCCACTGTGCAGACTGAGGAACCTCGTCCAGGGCTCACTGTGTAGACTGAGACTCCTCATTCCAGGGCTCACTGTGTAGACTGAGACTCCTCATTCCAGGGCTCACTGTGCAGACTGAGACCCCTCATTCCAGGGCCCACTGTGCAGACTGAGACCCCCCATTCCAGGGCTCACTGTGTAGACTGAGACCCCTCATTCCAGGGCTCACTGTGTAGACTGAGACTCCTCATTCTAGGGCTCACTGTGTAGACTGAGACCCCTCATTCCAGGGCTCACTGTGCAGACTGAGACCCCTCATTCCAGGGTCCACTGTGCAGACTGAGACCCCCCATTCCAGGGCTCACTGTGTAGACTGAGACTCCTCATTCTAGGGCTCACTGTGTAGACTGAGACCCCTCATTCCAGGGCTCACTGTGCAGACTGAGACCCCTCATTCCAGGGCTCACTGTGTAGACTAAGACCCCTCATTCCAGAGCTCACTGTGTAGACTGAGGCCCTTCGCCCGGGCTCACTGTGCAGACTAAGGTACCTCATTCCAGGGCTCACTGTGTAGACTGAGACCCCTTGCCCAGAATCACCATGCAGACTGAGGCCCCACATTCCAGGGCTCACTATGTAGACTGAGGCCCCTCGCCCGGGGCTCACCATGCAGACTGAGGCCCCTCGCCCGGGGTTCACTGTGTAGACTGAGGCCCCTCGCCTGGGGCCCACTGTGTAGACTGAGGGGCCCCTCGCCTGGGGCTCACTGTGCAGGCCCCTGCCTGTGGCTGGACCCAGAGGAGAGGAGCCCCGTGATGCTCCCTGGGGTTTAGATCTCTGAGGTGTTTTTAAAGTTTAACTAAAAACAAAAAGTCTTCAAGACACTTAGGAATTCATTTCTGAGGGCAAAAATCAAGCATTACGGCAGGAAATTGAGAGGAAATTATTCTTAGGTTCCTGAAATGACACCACTCAGGTGGCTAGCTATGGGAAAAGCCTCACCCATTCTTGCAGGTTTTGTTTATATCATTAAGCTCCATTTGATGTCGTAAGTGAAACTGGACTTGCAGATTACCAGTAAAATGGCTCTACTCTTCACTGCCCGAACTCTGTATGTGTGTGTGGGCGTATGTGTGCCCATATGTGGGTAATGTGTAGTATTTTAGAGTGCACATGTGTGCACACATATGTGAGAATATGAGTATGTGTGTGCATATGTGGGCACATGTGTGTATGTGTGTATAAAACTGTGATATCTGACTGTGCACACATGTGAGAATGAGTGCGTGTGTGCATGTGTGTGCATATGTGGGCACATGTGTGTATGTGTGTATAAAACTGATATCTGAGTGTACACACATATGTGAGAATGTGTGTGTGCATGTGTGCGCATATGTGGGCACATGTGTGTATGTGTGTATAAAACTGATATCTGAGTGTGCACATGTGCATGCATGTGTGTGCATGTGTCTGTGTGTGCATAGGTGTGTGTGCATATATGTAGTTAAGTAGCTTGTGATTAATTAAGATATTTTAAAAATCTTTAGTTTGTTGAAGATGAGTAAGTCCTTAGCTCACTGATACCACGATATTAAAAGCAACAACAGTGAAATACTGACATTCTTTTTAGCATAAGGTGTACCTGGAAACTTCTTCAGAAAGATAAGTTGTGCTAGCAGCTTCCATTGTTTCAATCAACTGTGCAAAAACACAAGACCTTACTGGCTTGTTAATGAAAAACCAATTCCAAACACAATCTCCTATGAGGTATTTCCAACAGATAAATGGGCATTTGATATTTTATCTGGTTTAGATAATAATCTGCAAAATTACCACCTCCTTCCTCTGCAAAGCGCCAGGATTATGTGAGCAAGGTCTAGGCTGTGGAGACAAATGAGAGGTGGCCCACTCTACACACGCAGCAGGTGAAAGGAAAAGGTTCCATTTCTGGTTCTTCATCATGCAAGTTCCTCGAAGAATGAAAACCAACATTGAGCTAAGTCAGTCCAGGTAATGGACTCTGCTTCCAACTGAAACAAGACATAATCACTGACTCCATCCACTTCCACTATGAACAGTGTGAGCTCAAAAAAATTCCCACGTGTAAAGCTAATTCCCACATTTGAATTTAGAAATTTCACTTCATCATTCAGTCAAAGAAAATGTCAGAAGCAATACCAAAAGTCTGTCCTAGGGTATTAACTCTGAATAACAATCTAATTCTCAATATTTAGAATCTCCTTCCAAAAATCTATTATGTGTTCCTTAGGTCAAATAAACCATTATAGAAAAAGCCCGTTATCCGATATGACATCTATGAAATGTTCTAATAAAATGGAAACTGGGAACATTCTAATGTCTGTTCTGCTGGGACTTGACGAACAAAAAGAAAATGCATTCCACTGAAGGAGGGGAGGAAGGAGAGTTTTGGGGGACAGAACTGGGAGGTGGGTGTCCAGGGCCTTAGGAGATTGGAAAGCAGGAGGCAGAGCTGACCAAGCATTGCAGGAACACCACCCTCGGCCACATGGAAGAGGGTCCCCAGGCTGGGCTGTGCAGCTACACTCCTGCCTGCCCCCCATCAGGGCCCCCACCCAGCTTTTGCCAGGGAAATCCCATGGGTGGGAAGGGGTACTGGAGGCCTGCGAGGAAGGGTCTGGCCATGGCAGTGCGATTCTGCATACCCAGGAGCCTCTGGGTGCTGCTGACCTGACTCCAGCTCCTCACAGGGTTGCATCTGGGTGTCAGAAGGGGCCATGTGGTCTCACCCATGTTCGGAGCTGCCTGGGCGGAATCAGGACTAGGAGGCCCGGGGCCCCTCTCCCAGTTCCCATGCACACCAGTGGGGGCGCAGCACCATGCAGCAGGTGGAGGTTGCTCCCTGACGGACCCTCAGTGCTGGGGTGGGGGAGCGGGGAACCGGCCCTGGCATGGCGATGTAGTGAGTACCAGTCCTCCTGCAGAGGCGGACAGCTGTTCTCCAGCTTAATTACGGCACAGTAAGAACCATGCAAAGGACATTGGCTTCCACTGACAAAGGCAGCTCTAAGCATTTAAGATTTTATATCAAGTTTTCATGCAAGTCTTAACTTTTTCTTGTTCAGGAACAGCCATCGGAAATTATAATGCATCAATAAGAAAATATGATTTTATATACAAATGTTAGCTTTGTTTCCTTTCCAAGAACACAATTACTTCTTTTTAAAAGTTGAGTTGCCTATTACTAGAATATGATAATTATCTTAAAACCATATCTGCAAAATCAATACCAGTTTTCACTATTTCCTGGCTTGGGCTACATTATAGACACTCGTTGTGCAAAGGAAGGTAAACAAAGCTGAAATGTTTTAACTTCTTCATAGAAACTAATGGCAAGCCAGTTTTCAAATGGCCTGTTTTTGTCTTAGCATTTGTTCTACGTAATAACTACTGACATTTATCTTTTATCAAGATCTTGACCTTGAATGTTTCAACTAGTTCCTGATTTCAAACAAAAATTATGTCCAAATGGGAAGGTAGATCAGGATCTTTCTTCACTAATCAATTTGGATGAAAAAGAAAATACTTTAAAACTTATTCTAGCCTGGAGAGTGCACGTCATTTTCAACTAATAACTTGAAGGTGCACATTCAGGGCCCTGCTCATCCATCACAGGAAAAGAACACATCCCCTTCTTTATGGAGGGCGTCCTGTCACCAGCGAGACGGACCGGGCGCCATGGAGTGGGTTGATTCCCTCCCCTACTATGGGACATTTTCCCTTTTAAAATGACCTTGCCATAAAAACTGAGAAGTTTATAAATTTTTATGTTACTGGGCACAAATTAACCAAAAGCATTGTCCTTAAAATCAGAATGAATTTCACAGCAACATAAAATACAGTTCACTATACACCCAAATCAGCTGCTTCCTTATATGAAGGTTTCCATCACTGCTGGCAGGTATTGCTACTGCTGACTCCTAAAGAGATGGACGACAGAGCCAGTTGACTCACAGAAGATCCCCCCCCCAAAAAAAAAAACTACCCATAGAGAAGACCACCACTGGACCACTGGTGCCTTCAGCCTTAAAGGGAGCATGCCAGACTATGGCCACATGGCTTCGTGTACATCCGCTGGCCTTGCCTCCCTAGGATTTAGTTAGAGACACATCTTTCCCTCCTGGGATGTAAGTCAGCTGACTTGCTCTTGCCTGAAGGGCTTGGTAAAATGGGCCATGATGGCCAATATTCAAAGGTAGCAGGAAAATGCTGGTCTTCCTTCTGCTTCACTCCCCCTTGGTTACAGCACACAGAAGTCACCAGAGTGAGACGTGGGCACCTGAGAGCGGCTGGCCAGGTCCTCCAGCAAACCCCTCCAGGAAATCACAGCAGTCACAGAGACAACCCGTGCAGACACGTGAAGAGTGTGGGACTGACCGTATCCTAAGACTTGAGATGCACGGTGTCCCCGACATGATAAAGGACCACATCCCGAGACTTCATATACACGGCATACCCGACGTGATAAAGGACCATATCCTGAGACTTCAGACACACGGCGTCCCCGACATGATAAAGGACCGTATTCTGAGACTTCAGACACAAGGTGTCCCCAACGTGATAAAGGACCACATCCCGAGACTTCAGACACACGGTGTCCCTGACGTGATAAAGGACCACATCCTGAGACTTGAGACACACGGTGTCCCCGACGTGATAAAGGACCACATCCCGAGACTTGAGACGCAGGGCGCCCCCGACGTGATAAAGGACCACATCCCGAGACTTCAGACACATGGTGTCCCCGACGTGATAAAGGACCACATCCCGAGACTTGAGACGCAGGGCGCCCCCGACGTGATAAAGGACATCCTGAGACTTGAGACACACGGTGTCCCTGACATGATAAAGGACCACATCCTGAGACTTGAGACACACGGTGTCCCTGATGTGATAAAGGACCACATCCCGAGACTTGAGACGCAGGGCGCCCCCGACGTGATAAAGGACCACATCCCGAGACTTCAGACACATGGTGTCCCCGACGTGATAAAGGACCACATCCCGAGACTTGAGACGCAGGGCGCCCCCGACGTGATAAAGGACATCCTGAGACTTGAGACACACGGTGTCCCTGACATGATAAAGGACCACATCCTGAGACTTGAGACACACGGTGTCCCCGATGTGATAAAGGACCACATACCAAGACTTGAGATGCAGGGCGCCCCCGACGTGATAAAGGACCACATCCCGAGACTTCAGACACATGGTGTCCCCGACGTGATAAAGGACCACCTCGCGAGACTTGAGACGCAGGGCACCCCTGACGTGATAAAGGACCGTATTCTGAGACTTCAGACACATGGCGTCCTCGATGTGATAAAGGCACAATCCTCCCCAGAAGCATAGCACAGTTGTCCATCTTTTTCAGGGGTTGGGGGATGGTGGGGCATGAGATTTCTTCTTTTCTTTTTGAGATGGTGTCTCGCTCTGTTGCCCAGGCTGGAGTGCAGTGGTGCGATCTCGGCTCACTGCAACGTCAGACTCCCTGGTTCAAGTGATTCTCCTGCCTCAGCCTCCCGAGTACCTGTGATTACAGGTGCCCGCCACCACACCCAGCTAATTTTTGTATTTTTAGTAGAGACAGGGTTTCACCATGTTGGCCAGGATGGTCTTGATCTCTTGACCTCGTGATTTGCCCGCCTCAGCAGACGTGAGCCACCGCGCCAGACCAGGGTGTGAGATTTCTTTGATCTCCCTCACTCCCCGTTACGTAAGTTCTGGTTCTGCCAGTCATGGGACATCTGGAGCACATTCCCTGAAGGTATTATTTGGGTCATTGAATTTCAACAGGGACACTCAATACAAGTACAAGAGAGATTATCCAGATTGGTGTCTGCAGTTCCCAGGGCACAAGGCATGGCTTAAACACTGGGGATGTAGGGCTAGGAGCGGTGGCTCATGCCTGTAATACCAGCACTTTGGGAGTCCAAGGCAGGAGAATCACTTGAACCTAGGAATTTGAGACCAGCCTAGGCAACAAATTGAAACTTCATCTCTACCAAAAAAAAAAAAAAATTAGCTGGGCAAGCTGGGCATGGTGGCACACACCTGTAGTCCCAGCTATCTGGGAGGCCAAGACAAGAGAATCACTTGAGGCCAGGAGGTTGAGGCTGCAGTGAGCTGTCACTGCACCACTGCACTCCAGCCTGGGTGACAGAGCAAGACCCCATCTCAAAAAAAAAAAAAAAAAAAAACAAGTGGAGTTGTTTTGAATACAGGAAACAACATGGGCATCAACTATTTGACGGGCTGCCTTGCTAAGGACGCGGCTCCCTTTTCTATGACATTCTCTGCAGACTTTCTGAGTAGAAGTCACAGGAAGGCTGATTCACTCCAAGAACACAAGCTCCACAGCTGTTCCCTCAAGGCCAAGCAAATGTATTTTGGGAAAACAGAAAGGGCTCCAAACTGTAGGTGAGGTCAGTAGCCTCAATCAGTGGGCCAGGAACTCCACATAGATGCACCAGTGACACTACTTTCGATCTTTTCTTTGGAAATAACGATCCATCCACAGGAAGACACAAGGGCAGTGGAAGACAGAGTTTCTGTGTGCTCTTCACTCATTGCCCTCCATGGTCACATCTCATTCAACCACTACACAAGACCCAGCCAAAAAGCCAGGGCCCTGTGTGTGCCTGTGACCATCCCTGCTGCCACGCAGCCTTCCTGCATGGTGCCGGACAGCAGCCCCCTCCTGCCTGAGTTCTGCCCACTGCATCACATTTTCATTTTGCTACAGTTGAGGATACAAAACATATGATAATGCCTTGACATGGACACTTCAGCTGCAATACTGGGCCACGGGGGTCTCTCCACCAAGGGCAGAGCGCAGTGAAGACAGGGCTCGACCTACTGGTGTGAAGCCGACCTCCCAGCTGAGAAAGATGCCGCACATACTGGAGACACTCCCACCTTCCTAAGAAAATGAAATTAAGTTGGTAACCACTTCTAAGCTGTGACTGAGCCAGAGGCTCAGTGTGCGAGCTGTGGACACAATCCGATCCCTTCACAGGCACTATACAGGAGGGTCTGAAACTCAAGAGAGTCGTGAGGCCAAAGGGAGATTCCAGATGACAACTTAGGTACTTCCAACCCTGATTGTGGCCGACTCTATTTTGAATATAATACTCCAAGTCAAGCCAAATCTGGACGTGTATTTGAAAAAGTAGAGCTCACCTATTTGAAACAGCAGGTAATAATCTCAAAATGCAAATTAAAGCAATAAAATGTCACTGTAGCTTACCAAATTTATGAAGATAAAAGACAAAATTAAAGTGGCCAAATGCTGGTTAAGCTGCTTGGGAGGTTTCTGTCACGCTTGCCAATGGCAACATAAATATGTGTGGTCCCTAGAGAAAAAGCAGCTTGGAAGTGTGTATTGCAAGTCTACAACATTCATATACTTAGAGCCAGTGTTTCCATTTGTAGGAACAATTCTAGGGGAATTTTAATTTGTATGGAAAAAGCTTTAGGAAATTAAATTTTTGTTTTAATACTATAAAAGCCAAAAGATCGGAAACAATCCAAATGTCACTTCTGTCCTAACATGTATCGGGCAATTATTTTGTGCCAGGCAACATCAAGAGAATAAAAAAAATGGTAAAAAAGAATTGAAATAAATATATTCCTGGCACTGGAATAATTTACAATCTTTTGGGAGGGGGACACCAAGCTAAAACAAGCTGAAACATGATGACAAAAACACAAGTAAGAAATGTCTGTATGGCTTGTGGTATCATCTCTTGATAGAATGTCATGTCATCATTAACTCAATGGTTCCCACTTAGGGCCGAGCCACCATTCTGGGGTATGGGGGGACCAAGGTGCTGGACAGGTCTCATGAGAGAGAATCCAGGCGCTCAGACAACAGCCCTAGATGAGCTACAAGCTGACAGCCAGCCCCACCTGCCCTGTGTGAGTGAGTGCCTGACTGCCCAGTCAAATCTCCAGATGCTCAGCCCCAGCTCACATCACAGAGCAGAAGAGCCGCCCAGCTGAGCCTGGGCAACCTTGGCCATCAGGAACAGTGGCTTCAACCAATGCTCACTGCTTACTAAATGTTGAGATGGCTTATTATTCAGCAATAGATAACCAAAACCAATGGATTGTTAGACAACAATTTGGCCAAATAAATATTCCATCCACCCATGGATATATTAGCCTTTAATCTAGTGACCTGTGACAAAGACACATGTGGCAGGATCACTGCACCTTACACTGATGGGTGATGCGATGCATGAACTTTCTGCAGCCCCCGTCGGGCCACCCATGAAAACTAGGAGCACAGATGCCCACCTGATAGTGAGGCCATAGCGGGGGATGGGATGCAGGAGTGAAGGAAGAGGGCAGTGCATTCGGTTTGCTCTCCTGATTTAGGGTAAGCAGAGGAGGGCTTGAGACCCACCCTTTAGAGTCCTCCCATAGCGGTGGCCCTGCGCCATCCTGAAGGAGCAGCCAGGGCATGGTGGGGCATGTCCACATGAGTGCTCAGGGGTCTCTGCATTTGGGATGGAGCAGGGGGTAGACAGTGGCTCAGGGACTCAGGGACCCCGAACCGCCGAGTTCCACGCTGCACACTGCTGTGGAGGACAAGGGAACAGGGACTTGAGCTCGCGTCCCAGATCGTTATAAAGGATTTTTATCCCAGGAGGCACAGACACTTCTTATTTAATGAGTGTTAACCTGATTATTGGTTCTAGTCGTTGGGACATGGGGTGCCTGGGCCCCACTAGCGCCATGCTGGGCATGCTTTGGGGGTCCCCTCCCTAGTCCAGGACTCGGTCAAACTAACTCCACTCCAGCCACTGGCTCCGAGACCCCCCAGGCAGTCTCTTCCTGTCAGCCACTGTGCGCCCCTGGTATCATCCACGACTTCTCAGTTTCAGTTTGGTTTGCTTTTCTATCTTGTCCCTTTCAGAAGTACTATCAGGGATGCTGCCACTACAAAGTGGACCCATTTCACAGCCACCCCACAGGGCGTCCACTCAGTGTCCAGCTGGGTAGATTCTGCTGACCACAGCCTTGACACCTCCTGTGTCCAGGAGGGGAGGCCAAACAAGCTCGTGAGCTTCCAGGTACCCAGCCCAGAGCTGTGTGTACAGCAGTCATTCCACAAGTTACTGCAGAATAATATTTTACTGAATGTTTTCCCTATTAAAACCTGGTCTTCTTTTAAGGCTTGGCTCTTTTTAAATAGTCAATTGTTCATTTCTTGAAAACAGTTTTTGCAGCATGCATCTAGTTAAACAAGTTAAATGGGCTAATCTCAGGAAGATCTCTTTCCCTTTAATTATAGATGAGGTCACAGACCCCGGAGGAAGTCCTGGAGATGTTCGTTGAAAGAAGAATCACGTCTGTGCAGCAGTGCCTTTGAACACAGTGACAAAAGGGTCTCGGGTGTGAGCACCAGGAAGGAATCCCAGGCTCCCCCTCCTTAGCTGTGAGTTCTCAGCCAGTGATCGAATTCCCTGGGCCTGGGGGTCTTCATCTGCGGAAAGGGATAGGCATCATCGTTCATTTAAGCAGGTGGAAGACAATTGAGGAAATCTATGTAAACAGGTAGCACAGTCCCAGAATATGCTAAGTGCCCGTATCGTATATTGTGTAGGAAAATTAAAACCTTTCAGAAAAGAGTCAATTCGCCCGGTTCATATGACCATTTTTAAGCTCAAACACGCTTTAACAGGGATCACTTTTCAAACCAAGCCCTTTCTTGAGCCTCAAAGCATCAGCAGCATTATCCCCCAGACCCTCAGGCCAGGATCTGTTCTGAGTGTCAAGATTTCTTCCTTGTTCCTTGTTCTTGAAATTGTAATGGAAATTTGGGGGAGTGGAGGAAGGACATTCAAATGTGTGTGTACGTTACAGCAATAGTAGAGAAAAAGATAAATGGCTTGCTGCCAGACTCATGGGACTTGGCAACTTCTATAACATCAATATTACTTTGAATGCTATAGCTAAAATAAATGTAGTTCTAAAATATTACCTCTGTTTTGCACTTAAGAGCAATTCGGTTTTTTCCAATCATTTCTCCGTAACTTTCGTTTGAGGTTTCATGACACCTTCCTCAATATTTTAATTATTACAGTGTTTTATAATCAAAAGCATTTGCTCTCATCAATAATAGTATCAGGACACAAAAACATTTTCTAGATGAAAAGTTTGAGAGATTATAAATATTACTTTAAGTTTGTCAAAATGTTGGCCTAAAAAGGATAAAAATTAGACATAAATGAATACATGGACGTAACACAAACTTATGTTTTTGTTCAAAAACTGCTCGGCAGACTTCTCGATAAAATGATGTCAAGTTCTCAGGCTTCTGACAGAGCCAGTGGAGAAAGGCTGTGTGCAGTACAACCCTGTCCTGATCACAATACAATGTGAAAAATAGTCAAAGCTCTCCAGTCTCCTCCAAAAACATTATCTATAGCAGCAAGCATACAAGAAAAAGGGGCACACACTCATGAATAAATGTTTTATATCAAAAGAAGAGAGTGGAGAAATTGTGATTCCCTCTGTCATTGCCACTCAGAGAAGTGAGTGGAAACTATCAACAATAGCCTGCAAATGTCATCGACACCTCCTGATTTTAAATGGCACAGCGAACAGGGTGAGCGGCACTCCTGCCTACACTGAGGAAATCCCTGGAGGGGAGTTTCACCTGCTCCCAGGCACTCTCGGACGCCGCATGGAACCAAGAATCAGCACCCGATGAGCAAGGTCTCCCTCTCCTCTCCCCCCACACCTGTCCACACACATCGCAGAAGAGAAGCAGGCCATCCACAGAGGCTGCTTGGAGTCTTGAGGAGCCACCTCCACACCGTCACCCTCCTCACCCCCAACGCCCCTGCAGTCGACGTTGAGTAAAGATCAAGGCTACAAAAATACCTTGGAGAAGAATTTATCCACATCAAAGCAAACAGTAATACCGGACAGTTCATAACCAAGAGGAAAAGTAATAACAGAGCAATTAGGATAACAAAAATGCATCCGTAAATGGAACACCACATGCAAAAACCAAATCTAGACACCAGTGCAAAAGAAAACCACCCCACCCAGATCTGTCCGCTCTATAGAAAATCCATTGCAAAAGAAAACCACCCCCACCCGGATCTGTCCGCTCTAGAGAAAATCCAGTGCAAAAGAAAACCACCCCACCCGGATCTGTCTGCTCTAGAGAAAATCCGGTGCAAAAGAAAACCACCCCAACCCAGATCTTTCCGCTCTAGAGAAAATCCAGTGCGAAAGAAAACCACCTCCACCCGGATCTGTCCGCTCTAGAGAACATCAAGTGCAAAAGAAAACCACCCCCACCCGGATCTGTCCGCTCTAGAGAAAATCCAGTGCAAAAGAAAACCACCCCCACCTGGATCTGTCCGCTCTAGAGAAAATCCAGTGCAAAAGAAAACCACCTCCACCCGGATCTGTCTGCTCTAGAGAAAATCCAGTGCAAAAGAAAACCACGTCCACCCGGATCTGTCTGCTCTAGAGAAAATCCAGTGCAAAAGAAAACCACCTCCACCCGGATCTCTCTGCTCTAGAGAAAATCCAGTGCAAAAGAAAACCACCTCCACCCGGATCTGTCTGCTCTAGAGAAAATCCAGAGCAAAAGAAAACCACCTCCACCCGGATCTGTCTGCTCTAGAGAAAATCCAGTGCAAAAGAAAACCACCTCCACCCGGATCTGTCTGCTCTAGAGAAAATCCTTAGCAAGCACATTAATTCAACAGGGCAAGAACTTGAAAATGAGATAATAAAAGAGATGAAAAAAGAAATTGCACAGGAAAGGAACTCAACTGAGTATTAAAACCACACCACCAGCCGGGTGCAGTGACTCACGCCTATAATCCCAGCACTTCGGAAGGCCCAGGCAGGTGGATCACGAGGTCAAGAGATTGAGACCATCCTGGCAAACATGGTGAAACCCCATTTCTACTAAAAATACAAAAAAATGAGCCAGGCATGATGGCAGGCGCCTGTAATCCCAGCTACTCAGGAGGCTGAGGCAGGAGAATCACTTGAGCCTACAAGGTGGAGTTTGCAGTGAGCCGAGATTGCACCACTGCACTCCAGCCTGACTGGCAGACCGACACTCCATCGGGAAAAAAAAAAAAAAAGAAAAACCACCACCACAAGACCAAGAGGTAAATCAGGACAGCAACTATCAAAACAAAATACAAAGCACAGGAAAATTCTTGACATAGAAGATTCAAAATAATCACCTTAAATTCAACAAGGGAAAGAAGATGAGAAAAGTGAGAGAAGAGGTAACAGGAGATGGAAAGGGGAATACACAGGAAGGGTCACAGGCACAGCCAGAGAAGCAGCAGCAAAGGACAACACCAAATGAAAACAAGCAGGAGACAAAACAGCTCCACCGACACGGGAGGAGAAAGTATCTCTGGCGTGAGGAGGGGACTGGACAGGTGCACTAACTGTACTCTCAACTTTGTGCAGAATAACAAATATCAGAAAATGTCCTAACTAGGTTAAGCTTTAAATACATATTTTTAAGAACATGATCAATCACATAGGCACAGCATGGAGGAAGAAGCTAACCTGGTATGGTTCATCTGGAGGCAGCAATGTTCATCTCAGGATTCTACAGGTAACATGACCCAAGCATGCTACAACCAGCCCACGTATCCTTCAGGATAACAGCAGCTGTGGCTTCACACATGAACAATGCAGGAAACAGAAACCCAGGCCCCTGCACTGGAGACAGGGATGCCACAACACATTCCAGTTCCCCCAAAATATACACAGTATAAAGACTGCTGTTATGAGGACAGTGAAACAGTATATTCAAGCTCCAAGGAAAGAAAGGGTATGAGCCAAACATTTAAAAGAACCCAAGTTTTCCTCAGATTATAAGAGCAAAGGGCAGGCATTCTCACCTAGGAAGAAATCGTGAAGCAAACCCTCATGACCCATGCAGAAAAGAACAACTCAATAATAAAACTGACCAGCAAAGAGATCAAAGTAAAAAAGATGAGGTCAGGCATGGTGGCTGGCATCTGTAATCCCAGCACTTTGAGAGGCTGAGGTGGGAGGACTGCTTAAGCGCAGGAATTCAAGATCAACCTGGGTGACACAGTGAGATCCTATCTCTAGAAAAAAAAAAAAAAAATTAGCTGGGCATAGTGGCTCACACCTGTAGTCCCAGCCATGAAGGAGGCAGAGGTGGGAGGATAGCTTGAGCCCAGGAGTTCAAGGCGGCAGTGAGCTAGGACCACGCCACTGCACTCCAGCCTGGGTGACAGAGCAAGACCCTGTCTATCTGTCTAGATAAACTGACTAAAAGTAAAGATGAGCCTCTGTAGGAGCTGAGGAGTTGTATGACATGACACAGATGGAGCAGTGCCAACCCGTGTGTGCATGCATGCATGTGTATGTGTGTATTTATGTGTGCATGCACATTTGTGTGTATACATGTGTGTATGTGTGTTGTGTATGCACATGTGTATGCATGTTTGTGTTCATACACGTGTGTATGTTTCTGTGCAGACACGGGTGTGTGCACATGCATGTGTATATGTTTCTGTGTATGACTGTATGCACATGTTTATGCATGTTTGTGTGCATGTCTATGCATGTTTGTGTGCACGTGTTTGTGCATGTACATGCATGCGTGTATGCATGTGTGATGTGTTTGTCTGTATGCATGGGTGTGTGTGCATGTTTGTATGCATGCATGTGCATGGGTGTTTATGCATGTGTGTATGTGTGTTTGTGTGTATGTGTGTATGTATGCACACGTGTATGCGTGTTTGTATGTATGCATAGGTATAAGCAAATTTAACTTTTTGTGGTAGAGGAGAAAATGCACGAGAAAACGCAGGAATAGTACTTTCATTTTTCAAAAATTATATTGTTTTAAATTTTCTCTTTCTTTATTCTTAGGCTTTTAAAGAATTATGTTTACTGGGATGAACAAACGTTTGTGTGAAGCATAGGAATGAGTTCCATTTTTCAAGTCAATTTATTAGTTTTATTAAAATCAAATAGTTACATTTTATGCTTTATTTTAAAATACCACAGAGTATCATCCCGTTTAATGAAGTGCTTCTACATTTTATACTGTGTGTGTTTGGTAGTGAATGATGGTTACTCCTGAGGAGTAGAAGGCTTTGTGATCAGTTGTTGTCTTCTCTGTAGTTTTCTATATTGGTTCAATGTCTTATAACATGTGTATCTTTTCATTTAAAAAAAGATAATCTAAAAAGGACAGGGGAAAAGTATCAAGTAAAATGATCCGGGCTCCCCAGATATTTAAATAGCATTTTTGAATGTAATATTTTGTAATTTTCATGAATTAATTTCAATATTTTAATTCATTTCCCATGTAAATCAGTAGGGGTTAATATTTCAGTCTGAAAATTTAAGTTCCCAAAGCATGCTGTTGCTAAGTGAATTCTACTCAGAAACTGAGGATCATGAGATAGTTTACAAAATTAGGATCATGCTATTCTATAACTTGTTTTTTTCTCAATTTTCATACAATGAACAAAACAGTCCGTCACATGCATGTATATTATACTTTCTCTATTCTCCTACTGCTGAAAAACACAGCAATCAATGCCTTCCATCATACATTGTTGTCCACATGAGATAAGATTAATGTACCTCCAGATAGATTCCTGGTCTATGAAGGGTTCCAAAGCGAAATTCTAAAAATGGTGAGTCACAGTGTGACTTGTGGGAAGGTGGCAGCTTTAAAATCTATGTGTAAGTTCTTGGGGGCTTTCTCAGAAGAAACCAGCTCTACTACTGTTTAGATAGATGTCTGCCACGCATATTAACTCACACTTATGATTCTCCTCACTTCCTCTTCAACTAGGCCAGCAATCAACACAGGCTGGAGAACTGAGTATTAAACAGTGAATGATGACGATTAACTTGAGGGGGTTTCATTCCATGGAATATTTTAAAGGCTGAAAACTACTGAACAGACAAAACCTTCTGCAAAGATCCTTTTATATTCATAAGGTTGATAACGAAACTTGTCTCTCCATCATGAGAGAACTGAGAACAAACAGCCTCACTCACGGAAGGACTTTCATTAATGTAGCCACATCCCATCGACAGGCACAAACCTGAGCCTCCGGCCACTCCACCCTAACACAATGTTCCTTCAGCACGGGAGCCAGCAGCCTCCAGAACGGCCTTTGCTTTGCTCAAAGCACACACGCTGAGGACACGGGATCCACACCCTGCTCAGACGCCATTTCTTCCCTGTTCCCATGGTGACACTGGGGCCCTCGGAGAAGAGCTCTGTAGTCTCTAAACGACAGGAATGACCCCCCCAGAAAGAAACCTGAGTGATTCTGGGGAAGTAACTCACAGCCTCCATCTCACAATCAAAGAAAAGTTACTATAAGTAAAGAAGGCTTTGGTCTAGCCAGAGAGTTCCTGCCTTCTGTGAGTCCTCTCTCAGCTCTGGAGTGGAGAGGAACAGAGGGGAGTGGTCCCTGGAGCCAGAAGAACACAGCATACTGGTCTGAGGAACTACTTTAAACGGTGTTGTGGTTGGATTTCTCCTGAGTCTAATTCCAGATAAGTAACTGACAATGGCCTTGCCTTTGCTGACTTCAGAACCACATGGAAAAGGGAGGGATGTTCAGGTGCCAGGAGCCTATTTGGTTCCTGCCTGCACTACAGCCAAAGAAAACAAAAATCCCATCTTTTCTTTAGTCTCCTGCTTCCCCCAGCCCACCTGTGAAGCCATAAGCTTAACCCTCCATGGAGAGACACGTCTCACTTCCCCAAGTCTCTATGCTGTTAGCACCCCAGCATCACCAAACAGGGGGAACCTAATTTATGGCAACCACTTCTACTTTTCATAAATAAGATTCAAACTATTTTAGTATTTTTCTAACTGAAACAGTTGCTGCTTGTAAACAACCCATGCTGAGTCACTTCTGTTTCTGGTGTGTTAGCCATCTTAGATCTTGAATAGAAATATGTGCATGCCACTTCCTAAGGGGGACAGGGGAGATTCTTCCTATAACTAAGCACAGCATGGCTGACATTTGTGGTACAAATTCTATTTGGAAGGGCTATGGTTATGCATATATGTAATGGAAATACTAAAATCCAGCAATGCAAACTATAAGACGAAAACTATTAAATCATAATGAGACTTGGTTTTTGATTGTGTGGAATATAAATCACTGTTAATTAGAAACATCTTTCAAGAAATAAAATGTTTAATTACAAAGTTACTATAATATTTCATTGACATCAAAAGATGTTTCTATCAACTGCAGTTGGATTTTAACTTCTTAAAAATCAAAAAACTGATGTCACAGAAACCAGAGTGCTTATTCTAAGTGCAACACACTTCCAACCTCACCCACTTCCTCCCACAAAACAGTTGTTTTATACGGTAATGTGAAAAAATTATACTGCTTTATACAGTATAATGTGAAAAAATGTGATTTTTTCAATATTACCCAATTAAAAGACTGTCTGAGGCAATAAAAACAATTTTATGTATTCCTTTTCATTTGCTCAATAATTTACAGACATGTTTATGGACTCTGAGACTGTTAACCTGAACAGAACAGCATTAGAATCTATTCCAGAACCTTGAAAGGTAAGTTGAAGAATACCTATTTCAGGTACTAAATATGTGCCCTGCCCCCGTGATGCCAACTGTACCACCGTTGTCCGATTTTCCTTAGACATTCTATTTCCTAGGTCATTAAAGCAAAATGCACTCAAGTGTAAAATACCCCAGCAGTCCGTAAACTGGAGCTGAATGACTCTTCGTCTGCTGTGATATGGAACTTGAATCACACTTTGGGGACTTGCTTCATTGCCAGCAAGGGAGCAGGTCTGACCTGTAACTATTCAGGCTCTCTCCAATGCCCAGCAGTCATATGATGATGGATCACGCCATCTCCTACAGAGCTGAGTTCCAGCCCCTGTGTGTAAATGCATCTTAAAAGGCAAGGATGCATCCATCCCAAGCCCTCCCACCTACCGTGTTCTAGGAAGCAGCACAGGTGCAGAATTAGACAAGTTAAGAGCACTGTTCTTGAGGATCTGGAGCCTTGGAAAACTCCCAGAGACAACCGTTATTAAAAAACACCAGGCTGGGTGCAGTGGCTCATGCCTGTAATCCCAGCACTTTGGGAGGCTGAGGCAGACGGATCACCTGAGGTCGGGAGTTCGAGACCAGCCTGACCAACATGGAGAAAACCCGTCTCTACTAAAAATACAAAATTAGCCAGGCATGGTGGCCCATGCCTGTAATCCCAGCTACTCGGGAGGCTAAGGCAGGAGAATCGCTTGAATCTGGGAGGCGGAGGTTGCAGTGAGCCGAGATCGCGCCACTGCACTCCAGCCTGGGCAACAAGAGTGAAACTCCAACTCAAAAAATAAAACAAAACAAAACACCATAAGGATGTTTAGGTCAAAATAATTTCTATCTACTTCGCAAAACTCCCCAATAATAATCACTAATGACATTGTAGTGCAGTGGCGATTTCTAATACGAAAACACCAGTCTCATCCAAAAACCACCATAGTACTGTCTACGCAACGCCTGCTGGGTTTAAGTGCACTGCTAGAGTGTAAATACAAAAGTATACTAATAAACAGCACTTTCATTCTCTATACTAAGTCTACTCCACAATTACAAACCAAAAAGGGAAAATTACCAGCCGGGATCTGCTATTAGAGTCAAGCCTCTAAGTAGCTGAAACGACACAGCTAACTGGTGTATTATCAAAGGCCCTAGAAAGGCCCTCAACAGAAAGCAAAAATACAAACACACACCAAAAAAAAAAAAAAAAAAAAAAAGCCAATCAGTTTGCTTGCATGGTGTCTTAAAGTCTGCATCTAGAGAACTGCTCCTCTGGCCACTATGTTGAAATATAAATATCCCTGAGAGGCACGAGTGTACTGACGTCCTCTCAGGCTAAATGGCAGAATCGCCCATGAAGGAGACGCTTGATACAGGAGAAAGGATACACACCAGGCATCAGCAATAGGAGAACACGAGCTGAGATGACCAGCAGAAACAAACGCCCCTGGAAGTTCCTGGAGATGGGAGAGAAGAACAGGAACTCCGAGTATGGGAGTGGAGGGGGTCTGGGCAAGGTGGGAGAGAAGAACAGGAACTCCGAGTATGGGGGTGCAGGGGGTCCAGGCAAGGAGGGAGAGAAGAACAGGAACTCCGAGTATGGGGGTGCAGGGGGTCTGGGCAAGGTGGGAGAGAAGAACAGGAACTCCGAGTATGGGGGTGCAGGGGGTCTGGGCAAGGAGGGAGAGAAGAACAGGAACTCCGAGTATGGGGGTGGAGGGGGTCCGGGCAAGGTGGGAGAGAAGAACAGGAACTCCGAGTATGGGGGTGCAGGGGGTCTGGGCAAGGTGGGAGAGAAGAACAGGAACTCCGAGTATGGGGGTGGAGGGGGTCTGGGCAAGGTGGGAGAGAAGAACAGGAACTCCGAGTATGGGGGTGGAGGGGGTCCGGGCAAGGTGGGAGAGAAGAACAGGAACTTCCGAGTATGGGGGTGGAGGGGGTCCGGGCAAGGTGGGAGAGAAGAACAGGAACTCCGAGTATGGGGGTGCAGGGGGTCTGGGCAAGGAGGGAGAGAAGAACAGGAACTTCGAGTATGGGGGTGCAGGGGGTCTGGGCAAGGAGGGAGAGAAGAACAGGAACTCCGAGTATGGGGGTGGAGGGGGTCCGGGCAAGGTGGGAGAGAAGAACAGGAACTCCGAGTATGGGGGTGCAGGGGGTCTGGGCAAGGAGGGAGAGAAGAACAGGAACTCCGAGTATGGGGGTGCAGGGGGTCTGGGCAAGGAGGGAGAGAAGAACAGGAACTCCGAGTATGGGGGTGCAGGGGGTCCGGGCAAGGAGGGAGAGAAGAACAGGAACTCCGAGTATGGGGGTGCAGGGGGTCCGGGCAAGGTGGGAGAGAAGAAGAGGAAATCCGAGTATGGGGGTGCAGGGGGTCTGGGCAAGGAGGGAGAGAAGAACAGGAACTCCGAGTATGGGGGTGGAGGGGGTCCGGGCAAGGTGGGAGAGAAGAACAGGAACTCCGAGTATGGGGGTGCAGGGGGTCTGGGCAAGGTGGGAGAGAAGAACAGGAACTCCGAGTATGGGGGTGGAGGGGGTCTGGCCAAGGTGGGAGAGAAGAACAGGAACTCCGAGTATGGGGGTGGAGGGGGTCCGGGCAAGGTGGGAGAGAAGAACAGGAACTCCGAGTATGGGGGGCAGGGGGTCTGTCCAAGGAGGGAGAGAAGAACAGGAACTCCGAGTATGGGGGAGCAGGGAGTCTGGTCAAGATGGAGAGGAGAACAGGGACTCTGAGAATGGGGGTGCATGTGGTCTGGGCAAGGTAGGAGAGAAGATCAAGAACTCCGAGTATGGGGGTGGAGGGGGTCCGGGCAAGGTGGGAGAGAAGAACAGGAACTCCGAGTATGGGGGTGCAGGGGGTCTGGGCAAGGTGGGAGAGAAGAACAGGAACTCCGAGTATGGGGGTGGAGGGGGTCTGGCCAAGGCGGGAGAGAAGAACAGGAACTCCGAGTATGGGGGTGGAGGGGGTCCGGGCAAGGTGGGAGAGAAGAACAGGAACTCCGAGTATGGGGGTGCAGGGGGTCTGGGCAAGGAGGGAGAGAAGAACAGGAACTCCGAGTATGGGGGTGGAGGGGGTCCGGGCAAGGTGGGAGAGAAGAACAGGAACTCCGAGTATGGGGGTGCAGGGGGTGCAGGGGGTCTGGGCAAGGTGGGAGAGAAGAACAGGAACTCCGAGTATGGGGGTGGAGGGGGTCTGGCCAAGGTGGGAGAGAAGAACAGGAACTCCGAGTATGGGGGTGGAGGGGGTCCGGGCAAGGTGGGAGAGAAGAACAGGAACTCCGAGTATGGGGGTGCAGGGGGTCTGGGCAAGGAGGGAGAGAAGAACAGGAACTCCGAGTATGGGGGTGGAGGGGGTCCGGGCAAGGTGGGAGAGAAGAACAGGAACTCCGAGTATGGGGGTGCAGGGGGTCTGGGCAAGGGACGGAGAGAAGACCAGGAACTCCGAGTATGGGGGTGGAGGGGGTCCGGGCCAGGTGGGAGAGAAGAACAGGAACTCCGAGTATGGGGGTGCAGGGGGTCCGGCTGAGGAGGGAGAGAAGAAGGGACTGAGCGTATGGGGGTGCAGGGGGTCTGGGCAAGGAGGGAGAGAAGAACTGGAACTCCGGGTATGGGGGTGCAGGGGGTCTGGGCAAGGAGGGAGAGAAGAACAGGAACTCCGAGTATGGGGGTGCAGGGGGTCTGGGCAAGGAGGGAGCGAAGAACAGGAACTCCGAGTATAGGGGGTGCAGGGGGTCTGGGCAAGGTGGGAGAGAAGAACAGGAACTCCGAGTATGGGGGTGCAGGGGGACTGGGCAAGGTGGGAGAGAAGAACAGGAACTCCGAGTATGGGGGTGGAGGGGGTCCGGGCAAGGTGGGAGAGAAGAACAGGAACTCCGAGTATGGGGGTGCAGGGGGTCTGGGCAAGGAGGGAGAGAAGAACAGGAACTCCGAGTATGGGGGTGGAGGGGGTCCGGGCAAGGTGGGAGAGAAGAACAGGAACTCCGAGTATGGGGGTGCAGGGGGTCTGGGCAAGGAGGGAGAGAAGAACAGGAACTCCGAGTATGGGGGTGGAGGGGGTTCTGGCTAGGTGGAGAGAAGAACAAGGAACTTCCGAGTATAGGGGGTGGAGGGGGTCCGGGCAAGGTGGGAGAGAAGAACAGGAACTCCGAGTATGGGGGTGCAGGGGGTCTGGGCAAGGAGGGAGAGAAGAACAGGAACTCCGAGTATGGGGGTGGAGGGGGTCCGGGCAAGGTGGGAGAGAAGAACAGGAACTCCGAGTATGGGGGTGCAGGGGGTCTGGGCAAGGAGGGAGAGAAGAACAGGAACTCCGAGTATGGGGGTGGAGGGGGTCTGGGCAAGGAGGGAGAGAAGAACAGGAACTCCGAGTATGGGGGTGGAGGGGGTCCGGGCAAGGTGGGAGAGAAGAACAGGAACTCCGAGTATGGGGGTGCAGGGGGTCTGGGCAAGGAGGGAGAGAAGAACAGGAACTCCGAGTATGGGGGTGCAGGGGGTCCGGGCAAGGTGGGAGAGAAGAACATGAACTCCGAGTATGGGGGTGCAGGGGGTCTGGGCAAGGAGGGAGAGAAGATCAGGAACTCCGAGTATGGGGGTGCAGGGGGTCTGGGCAAGGAGGGAGAGAAGAACATGGAATCTTTGTATGGGGGTGCAGGGGGTGTGGGCAAGGTGGGAGAGAAGAACAGGAACTCCGAGTATGGGGGTGGAGGGGGTCCGGGCAAGGTGGGAGAGAAGAACAGGAACTCCGAGTATGGGGGTGCAGGGGGTGTGGGCAAGGTGGGAGAGAAGAACAGGAACTCCGAGTATGGGGGTGCAGGGGGTCTGGGCAAGGAGGGAGAGAAGAACAGGAACTCCGAGTATGGGGGTGCAGGGGGTCTGGGCAAGGAGGGAGAGAAGAACAGGAACTCCGAGTATGGGGGTGCAGGGGGTCCGGGCAAGGAGGGAGAGAAGAACAGGAACTCCGAGTATGGGGGTGGAGGGGGTCCGGGCAAGGTGGGAGAGAAGAACAGGAACTCCGAGTATGGGGGTGCAGGGGGTCCGGGCAAGGAGGGAGAGAAGAACAGGAACTCCGAGTATGGGGGTGCAGGGGGTCTGGGCTAGGAGGGAGAGAAGAACAGGAACTCCGAGTATGGGGGTGCAGGGGGTCTGGCAAGGAGGGAGAGAAGAACAGGAACTCCGAGTATGGGGGTGCAGGGGGTCTGGGCAAGGAGGGAGAGAAGAACAGGAACTCCGAGTATGGGGGTGCAGGGGGTCCGGGCATTTTAGGGAGAGAAGAACAGGAACTCCGAGTATGGGGGTGGAGGGGGTCCGGGCAAGGTGGGAGAGAAGAACAGGAACTCCGAGTATGGGGGTGCAGGGGGTCCGGGCAAGGAGGGAGAGAAGAACAGGAACTCCGAGTATGGGGGTGCAGGGGGTCTGGGCAAGGAGGGAGAGAAGAACAGGAACTCCGAGTATGGGGGTGCAGGGGGTCTGGGCAAAGGAGGGAGAGAAGAACAGGAACTCCGAGTATGGGGGTGCAGGGGGTCCGGGCAAGGTGGGAGAGAAGAACAGGAACTCCGAGTATGGGGGTGCAGGGGGTCCGGGCAAGGTGGGAGAGAAGAACAGGAACTCCGAGTATGGGGGTGCAGGGGGTTTGGCAAGGTGGGAGAGAAGAACAGGAACTCCGAGTATGGGGGTGCAGGGGGTCTGGGCAAGAAGGAGAGAAGAACAGGAACTCCGAGTATGGGGGTGCAGGGGGTTTGGGCAAGGAGGGAGAGAAGAACAGGAACTCCGAGTATGGGGGTGCAGGGGGTCTGGGCAAAGGAGGGAGAGAAGAACAGGAACTCCGAGTATGGGGGTGCAGGGGGTCCGGGCAAGGTGGGAGAGAAGAACAGGAACTCCGAGTATGGGGGTGCAGGGGGTCTGGGCAAGGTGGGAGAGAAGAACAGGAACTCCGAGTATGGGGGTGCAGGGGGTGTGGGCAAGGTGGGAGAGAAGAACAGGAACTCCGAGTATGGGGGTGCAGGGGGTCTGGGCAAGGAGGGAGAGAAGAACAGGAACTCCGAGTATGGGGGTGCAGGGGGTCTGGGCAAGGAGGGAGAGAAGAACAGGAACTCCGAGTATGGGGGTGCAGGGGGTCTGGGCAAGGAGGGAGAGAAGAACAGGAACTCCGAGTATGGGGGTGCAGGGGGTCCGGGCAAGGTGGGAGAGAAGAACAGGAACTCCGAGTATGGGGGTGCAGGGGGTGCAGGGGGTCTGGGCAAGGAGGGAGAGAAGAACAGGAACTCCGAGTATGGGGGTGCAGGGGGTCTGGGCAAGGAGGGAGAGAAGAACAGGAACTCCGAGTATGGGGGTGCAGGGGGTCTGGGCAAGGAGGGAGAGAAGAACAGGAACTCCGAGTATGGGGGTGCAGGGGGTCCGGGCAAGGTGGGAGAGAAGAACAGGAACTCCGAGTATGGGGGTGCAGGCAAGGTGGGAGAGAAGAACAGGAACTCCGAGTATGGGGGTGCAGGGGGTCTGGGCAAGGAGGGAGAGAAGAACAGGAACTCCGAGTATGGGGGTGCAGGGGGTCTGGGCAAGGAGGGAGAGAAGAACAGGAACTCCGAGTATGGGGGTGCAGGGGGTCTGGGCAAGGAGGGAGAGAAGAACAGGAACTCCGAGTATGGGGGTGCAGGGGGTCTGGGCAAGGAGGGAGAGAAGAACAGGAACTCCGAGTATGGGGGTGCAGGGGGTCTGGGCAAGGAGGGAGAGAAGAACAGGAACTCCGAGTATGGGGGTGCAGGGGGTCCGGGCAAGGAGGGAGAGAAGAACAGGAACTCCGAGTATGGGGGTGCAGGGGGGTCTGGGCAAGGAGGGAGAGAAGAACAGGAACTCCGAGTATGGGGGTGCAGGGGGTCTGGGCAAGGAGGGAGAGAAGAACAGGAACTCCGAGTATGGGGGTGCAGGGGGTCTGGGCAAGGAGGGAGAGAAGAACAGGAACTCCGAGTATGGGGGTGCAGGGGGTCCGGGCAAGGTGGGAGAGAAGAACAGGAACTCCGAGTATGGGGGTGCAGGGGGTCCGGGCAAGGAGGGAGAGAAGAACAGGAACTCCGAGTATGGGGGTGCAGGGGGTCTGGGCAAGGTGGGAGAGAAGAACAGGAACTCCGAGTATGGGGGTGCAGGGGGTCCGGGCAAGGTGGGAGAGAAGAACAGGAACTCCGAGTATGGGGGTGCAGGGGGTCTGGGCAAGGTGGGAGAGAAGAACAGGAACTCCGAGTATGGGGGTGCAGGGGGTGTGGGCAAGGAGGGAGAGAAGAACAGGAACTACGAGTATGGGGGTGCAGGGGGTCTGGGCAAGGTGGGAGAGAAGAACAGGAACTCCGAGTATGGGGGTGCAGGGGGTCTGGGCAAGGTGGGAGAGAAGAACAGGAACTCCGAGTATGGGGGTGCAGGGGGTCTGGGCAAGGTGGGAGAGAAGAACAGGAACTCCGAGTATGGGGGTGCAGGGGGTGTGGGCAAGGAGGGAGAGAAGAACAGGAACTCCGAGTATGGGGGTGCAGGGGGTCTGGGCAAGGTGGGAGAGAAGAACAGGAACTCCGAGTATGGGGGTGCAGGGGGTCTGGGCAAGGTGGGAGAGAAGAACAGGAACTCCGAGTATGGGGGTGCAGGGGGTGTGGGCAAGGAGGGAGAGAAGAACAGGAACTCCGAGTATGGGGGTGCAGGGGGTCTGGGCCACTTTCATAGAAAACTTCAGAAGGTCGATTCCCATGCAGCGCAGGACTTGGGCACCCACATGGCAACATCACGACACAAATATAACAGGTGAAAAGTTGGGAATACTCTCACCAACAAAAAGAATGAACCACTAATACAAACAACAGCATGGATGGAGCTCAAATCATCAGGCTGATAGAAAGGAGGTAACACAGCACTGAAGTCGTAGATGACCCCTTTCATGAAATTCTACAGTGGGAAGCAGTGATCTGTAATGAAGCCATCATGCTGGCACAGTGGTCCAGGAGGTTGGCTGGGAGCGGCAAGAGAGGCTTTCTGAGGAATACGTTCCTCAGAGCTCATCGAACCCAACACCCAACAGCGACATTTCACTGCATGCAAATTACAATTCAGTTATTTTTAAAAGACTTAGAAAAATCATATAATTTTTTAAGTGACAAGAGCAGCTGGTGTCATGAGAGACTTCCTCCAAAGCCACATAGCCAGTCATTAGCAGGGACCCTGGGGAAGCCTCAATTTCTGAATCTCAAAATACAAAAACAATATTATGTATTTCATAAGATTAAGCCAATTTCAAAATTTTAAACTAATTGCAGTTTCAGACTCTTAGCAATTATGTCAATCATTCACTTTTCTCAGGTTCCAGATGGAGCAGAATCATACATATCAGCCTTCAAGGAATGTCTACCTTTCAACACAGTTAAGAGCCTGACCCCAGGGCAGGAAGAGCTCGTCCTGCTGGGTCACAATCACACATGACATGTGAGAAAGTTGGTACCAAAGCCTTTGCATCCTGGTATTTCCGTCGACTGCAGCTGGAACCCCAGATGTAGAGGACAGAGGAAGTGAAGCCGCCCAGGACACAGGAGAGGCCAAAAACACAAGTGCGGCCGATTCAGGTGCAAGCAAGGTTTGGACGTCTACTATGGATAAGGTGTCAGGCATAAAAAACCCGAAGACAGCCCCTCCCTCAGGCCCTGGGAGAGCAGCCGTCCACTGATGGAGAGGAGGTTAGGATGTGGGTGAGTGAAGTGGGGAGGGGTGCTCCTTCCTGGGAACCCAGAGGGACTCCGGGGGAGCACTGCTGGGCCCTGATGTGGCATGCGGGAGAGCCCCCCAAGTGCTCTGATCAAAGGCCAGTGTGGAACACGGCAAGGTGGTGCCGCGCAGGGCTGAAGGCTGGGACTGCACTGCGGTCGTCACAATGGAGGCTGACTAGACGGGATCTGTGCTTTAAAACAGTCTCCTGGCCAACCTGGAGAGCCCTCGACAGCAGAGACAAGGTCCAGGGAGCCGCGAGCGGAGGCAGTGCAGGCAGCGACGGAGAGGAGGTGACCTGAGAAGAAAAGAGGTAAAAATCCACAGCATGTGGAGAGGCACCTGCATTGTCAGAGGACAGAGAAGCATCTGAGAAACTCCAGGGGCTCTCATGCAGGTGACTGTGGGACAGCAGTGCCACCAGTGGAGCTTGGAAATGATGCAGAAAAAGCAGGATTGGTCAGGAGAGCCATGCACTCACCAGGTCCCCGGGGGACAGGCCCTGGGTCTAGGGAGGGTGGAGATGGAGGCCAGGAACCAGAGGGCAGGTGGACAGGGCAGGCAGGGAACACATCAGATGGAAGGTCAGAGCCACGGCAAATCACGGCCAGGAGGCAGGAGCCCAGGAGAGAAGGTCCACGTGGGGTGGGACATCAGACCCTGGAAGGGAGGAGGCTGAGGCCAGACACCCCCAGGGACAAGCCAGATCAAGGCTGAACAGAGGCCGAGCCGGGAGGGTTTTCTTCAAGGCCTGTTGTTGCCAAACAAACTGCAAATTAAAAAGAAGACGCCACATCCCTGTCCTTCATGTGAAATGAATACCAAAGGAAATGACTTTGGGCAGGTAATAAGAGAATTTAAGGCTGAGTGTTACCTGCAGCTTCGGAGAGAAGAATAAAGAATGACACTTTGCCAAGAGACTTACAGGGCTTCAGTTTCACTTCTAGATTCCACAGTGACCCTGAAGCTAAAATCTATTTGCTTTTTAAAATGCACACTTATAAAATTCTGTTTTGCATCTGAAGGTGATTTGGGACCTATTTCTCTATCTGAATACTAAAGGGTACTAAATACATACTCTTTAGAAAATACATTCCACATAAAAATCATGCGATTAGCTACCAACCTATAAGAACGTGAAAACCATAGAAAATAACGCAACTCCCATCAGGGCCTATGAGAATAGAACCATGCTAGGCCCCTTTAGACAGTTTCCTCCCCAGTCAGGTGCACATGGAGGAAAATTCAATGGTGCTAGAAGCTACATCGAGAACCAGACTTGTTTTGATGGATATCACTGAAGCCACAGAGAAGCACTGATCTCCTTAATACATACGGAGAATATTGCTGACCACATATGTAAAACATGTAATAGAATCCTAGGTGAGTTGGAAATTAACAGCTGAAAGAGAGGATCCTTTTTATCTGTCATATGTTGGGGGAAACTGGGGAAGAAGCCAGCACACAGGAAGCACCCGGTGTGAGTAAAAGTGAGAAGCGCTTAAATAGCAACTGCCTTGGTGAAAGGAGTGGGCTTGTCGTCGGCTTGGACTAATTACCCACCTCCAGGCAGAAAAGCTGAGGTTACTATTCAAGGGGAAGACAGCAGGATTCCCACGAGCTGCAGTAAGACCAGGAAGCTAAAGATCTTGACAAATAAGCAGTTTGTCTATTTTGTTTGCTGGCTGAGTTTCCAGGGCAACCACAAAACCAGTAGTTCAACAACAGAGGCTGGAAAATGGACAAGGGAAGGTCGTGGGGGCGTCCGGCAGAACTGTGCTGGGCCTGTCTCTTCCTCCTGTGGTCTCTGGAGACCTGATCTTCAAAACAGGATGGGCTGCAGCCAAGGGAGGTGATGATGCCTCCTTCCACACGATTTCTACAGGTGTGCAAGCCAGGCCAAAGGCAATTCCCAGCCCAGCCCCACTGAGACCTGCAGAATCCCAGCAGGACCCGTGGACACGTCCTAAACCTGCAGCTGAGCTCACCATCTCAGACATGGTGACTGACCATCTCTGCCCAGGCTTCCTGATCTCAGGCGACCCCGGCCAGGGCACCTGGCACTCCTGCAAAGACACCATCACAAACCAACCTCCGGTGGCACCACTGAATAGGAAGGAGAGCAGAGAGAATTCAGGAAGAACCGAAATGCCCAAAGAAGTATAGGAAAAAAGACGGGAGTTTGGTGAAGCAGAAAAAAATCAAATTCGAACCTGATTTCACCAGGGATTTGCTCCATGATTTTTACTTCCTCCTTGTGGATTACTGTATACATTAAATGATACCACATTACTAAAAATCAAGGGGCCAGGTGCGGTGGCTCATGCCTGTAATCCTAGTACTCTGGAAGGTCGAGACGGGTGGATCACTGGAGGTCAGGAGTTTGAGACCAGCCTGGCCAACATGGCAAAACCCCATCTCTACCAAAAATACAAAAATTAGCCAGGCATGGTGGCAGGTGCCTATAATCCTGGCTACTTGGGAAGCTTAGGCAGGAGAATCACTTGAACCTGGGAGAAGCAGGTTTCAGTGAGCCAAGATTGCATCATTGCACTCCAGCCTAGGCAACAGAGTGAGACTCTGTCTCAAAAAAAAAAAAAAAAATCAAATACAGTGTTTGACATGCAGTGGGTGCCCAGTAAATACATTATTAGTCTCCTTTTCTCCTCCAGTCCTTCCTTCCACTTGCCTCAGAACACAGCCCCTTTCTCTCTCTCAGTAATTGGAAGAAACTTTGTTTTAGCTGTAATTTTTAACTCTAAGTAAGAAATTATACTTATGCAACACTTAACACTAGATAATAATTAGGAACCACATAAAGTAAGATACTAAAATGTCTAGAGAAAAGTTTAATTTGCAACCACCCTGGCACATGAATACCTATGTAATAAACCTGCACGTTCTGCACATATATCCCAGAACTTAAAGTGAAATTTTTTAAAAAAAGAAAAGTTTAATTCACATTGCCATTAGCATAAAGGAAACCCGGCACAGAAGCCATGCAGCTCAACAGGCTGACACAGCTCTCCCTACCCCTGCTGTGCTAAACATCCTAAGCTCTTTGGGATCCCAAGAGCTTCCGGAAGCCTCTTCCCAACCAGTCACACTCCCTACTAATAAGTGAGCTATGAAGAGCTTCCAGAAACTTCTTCCCAACCAGCCATACTCCCCCCTAATAACGTGGATATCAAGAGTTTCCAGAAACTTCTTCCCAACCAGCCATACTCCCCCCTAATAATGGGGATATCAAGAGTTTCCAGAAACTTCTTCCTAACCAGTCATACTCCCCTCTAATGAGCATCTTCTTCAGGAAGTTTTTATTCCACCAAGAGCATCTTCAGGGAGGGAGGCCCAGGAAGAGGGTTTCATCGAGGAGCTGAAACAGGGGGTTTGTCAGGTGATCGACTGAGCAAATGGGCAGCTCCTGTGCCTGTGGTCCTTGCTGCTAATGAACCACACATCCCTCACTCTCACATCTGGGGAAACACTGGGATCAAAAGGCCAAAGATAAGCGTTACCTTGAAATAATCTTTCTCATGACAAATTCTCAATATTTTAGGGAAATTAACAAAGGCAAAATATTCTGCCATTACCAGATGTTCTGCTCTCAGATAATACAGATTGTACTTACTAGAATTTCATGTTATAAAACATTATAAACCTCCTACATGATTTGATTGGTCAACTCTCCTTCACAGCATAATAAATTCTCTTTGTAAAATTTTACCTGCATTAATCACATATACTTGCTAAGCAACTGGTGAAAGACCAGGGAAATTAACATCTTTGAGACTACGGATGTGCTGGCACATGGATGATCTCATTTAATCCTGACAACACCATGAGGTGGTTGTCATGGCCCTTGTTTTGTCAGTATGGAAATCACAGTTCTGAGGAATTAAGCAACTTGCCTACACAGCATTAGATCTGACTCTGAAGCTTATGTACCCACCATGCCAACAGTGAGCATTCTACATGAGACCGTGCTGAAGGACACACATCTACGGACAGTGGGTGTGGAGAGCTGAGCCAGGCCTTCGGACCTTGTATCTTGACTCATTTCCACTGATTTCTCTTTCCTCTGGATCAGGCTGTAACCTGCACACAACCATGCTCAGCCAGGGACCTTGGAAATACCCGAAGATCTCTGGCATGATCACTGTCAAGATATGACTACGTGGAAACATTATGCAAACTCTGAGGCTCTTTATAAATATTTGCTTTACTTTCCCCTCAAGATTTATTTGGAAGTATGCCTGAGACATTTCACATCTGTTCTGTTTAAGCTTAGCATTTAGATAAATACACACAGGAAGCAATTATTTTGAGGTGAGGTTAGGAGCCTAGCTATCGTTCCCATTATGATGATCAATAGTAACAGACACAGACAAAGAAAAATTCAGGTCACCCTCATTTTATGACCAGTGAAGAATCAGGTGCATTTGTTTATGCCACTTGCATTCATTGTCCTAACCAATCACTTATGAGGGACTCAGCAACCCAAATTCTAAATAATTAAAAATGTAAAAACAGATGCAATAAGGGTAGCTGTACATCTAAACACATCTCAGCTAATCACGTCCTGTCTTTAAGTGAGGTCGGCGTATTGACTGGGAGGCCGTGCTCTTTACACCGCTGTTCTTGGAGAGTGGCAGATGTGTCAAGAGCTGTTCTTACTACTGCGCCAGGCCTGCTCTACACAATCTTTGCAGGGAAGATGCCAGGCATGGCCGTGGTTTGGTCTGTGGCCAGGAGCGTGGGCCAAGCTGACCATCCCCACAACCAAGATAAACCTAGGCCCAACCCCTTAGAAACAGGGCCCTCTGAGAGCTACCAGCTCCTGGATTGGAGGCAGGGGCTTTGAGCCCTGTAAGGGCACAATTAAAAGCTTTTAGTGAAGTTTTTTTATGGACTGAGCAAAAATGAAAGGCATGCACTGGGATTTCACAGAGGCAGAGAATATTATCCTTGAGAGAGATTTTGACCAGCTCAGACAGCTCACCTCGCATAGAAGAAAACAGGCTGACAAAGCTGTGCTGTGCCCAAGGTCAGGTGTCGGCAAAACTGGGCTAGAATCCAGGACGTTTAAGTCTCAATTCAAGATTCTTTCCATATGATTTTTAAAATACTTACTTTTGGGAATCCCAATAAACAGTTTCCTGCTACGAGGTAGGGACAGGTGCCCAAAAGCTACACATGAGACACCGGGAGGAGTGACCGCCCGCACACCCAAGGACCATTTCTCTGACTTCTGTGTGCTCGGCACACTCTTCCTCAGGAATCCTGGAATAGCAAGGCACCACACCGGGCATTAGCAATGTTACCTCAGTCAGGCACAGTGGCTCACATCTGCACTCCCAGCACTTTGGGAGCCCAAGGCAAGAGGATCACTTGAGCCTAGGAGTTCAAGACCAGCCTGGGCAACAAAGCGAGACCTGGTCTCTACAAAAAAAATTAGCCAGGCATGTGACATACACCTATATATAGTCCCAGCTACTCGGGAGGCTGCGGTGAAAGGATTGCTTGAGCCTGGGAGGTGGAAGCCACAGTGAGCCACGATCACACCACTGCAGTCCAGCCTGGGCAACAGAGCAAGGTCCTATCCCAAAAACTTCTTTTAATTAAAAAAAATTAAAATAAATGCTACCTCTTTTTATCTTCAGAGTCACCCAATTAACAAATGAGTAAACTGAGTCTCAGGGAAGTTACGTGACATATCCAGGGTATGTACGATGAAGGTGGAATTTGAACAGAAGAACATCTCAAGGACCTGTACTTTCCACCAACACGTGGATTCTAAGGGATAGAAGAACATCTTGACGACCTGTACCTTCCACCAACACGTGGATTCTAAGGGACAGAAGAACATCTCGACGACCTGTACCTTCCACCAACACGTGGATTCTAAGGGACACAAGAACATCTCGACGACCTGTACCTTCCACCAACACGTGGATTCTAAGGGACAGAAGAACATCTCGACGACCTGTACCTTCCACCAACACGTGGATTCTAAGGGACACAAGAACATCTCGAGGACCTGTACCTTCCACCAACACGTGGATTCTAAGGGCATATTTAAAGGTCCATCAGTGTCCGATTTTCAAGAGAACATTATCTAAATGGGAAACTTGTGCTGTGTGGACCAAGGCCGGCTAGTCCGTCAGGTCCATCGGGTAAGTTCACCCTGCCCTGATCCTATCCCGCAGGAAAAGTGAATAGTAGCTCTTATTTTTCAAACAGCTCCCTATCTAAAGGGAGGCTCTATATAGAAATAGGAAACTAAAGCAGATATACGCATTTGGCAAATCTTTCTTAAGGAGCTTTTTGTGCAAAAACCCACGAAGGGATCAGAAATGTAAAAAAAAAAAAAAAAAAAAAAAATCCTACCTTTAAAATTCCTAGAGTGTATTAAAGCAGATAAAAAATGAACACAAATACTAAACTACCAGGCAGTATAAACGGACCAACTGTGGACTAGAAAGCTCCATACGAAAGGTAGCCCAGCTGCTTTAGGTCCGAGCACAGTGCAGAGACTTATTGGTTAGGTCAGCAGCATTCACAAAAGTCTTGAGACCACAAATCCAAGAATTTGCTCATATCCATATTGCATTTATTTTTCTTGCAAGAATTTTATTTTATAGCAAAGAATCCTCATCTTCCTAAGCCTCTTCACCTTCGCTTCCCTCCATAGCAAGTTGGCCTTCTTTATAAGGCTCTATTTTTCCTTGACAAAGAAAAAATATCTATCACTTCATAAAAATCTTTCTAAACTCTTTCTAGAGAAAAGCCCTTTGTGGGTCTAGGCACAGAGAAGTCACTCAAACCATCGACTGATTGCTAAACAGCTCCACTTAGCAGAGGTAAAAGAATGAGATAAGAGTAAAGAAGCCACAAAAATATCAACAGCTCTTGAGTCTAGTTGAAAATAAAAAATATTACAGTAAAAACTGTCGCACATGCTGAGTGCCTGCTGAGGCATGGTTCCAAGGGTTCATGTGCATTCATCCATTAACGGGTCTTGCACGGTCACCCGTGGGTTAGGTACTGTTATTATCTCTGCTCCGTAGATGAAGAAATGCAGAAACTGAGACACAGTGGAGTTATACAACCTGTCCACACTCGCTCCACTGGAAGGCACCAGAGCCAGGCCCCTTGGGAGGCTGAAGAGCATTCCTAACTAACCTGTCCCATGCTGTGCAGAGGAGACATGGTTAGCCAGGAGCAAAGCAAGTTTAAAGGTGGAGGAGCAAAAGGACAGCACTGCCCAGAGATGACTTCCAAGGCCAGGGATGTGGTATCCAGTTTACCTGTGAACAGCAGAAAACAAGGAAGACCCGCAGGCACGGAGATGCACTGGATTCCCATTCAACGTTAAAGTTCAAACTCTTTGTGGAAAGAGGATTCATAGAACAAGAGCAAATAGTTTCAAACAAAACATCTGAGAAGAGATTAATATCCACAATATATAAAGAACTTCTACAAGTCAACAACACATTAGCAAACCAATTAGAAAATAAGCAAAGGATTTGGATCAGTATTTCTCCAAAGATGAACAAATGGATAATAAATACATGAAAGGTGCTCAACGTCACTAATTGTCAGGGAAATGCAAATATAAAACACAGTGAGATACCACCTCACACTCACTAGTACAGCTACTATCAAACAACAAAAAATACCATATCGGAGAGGATGCAGAGAAACTGGAACCCTCGTACGCTGCTGGTAAAATGTAAAACGGCGCAGCTGCTGTGCAAACAGTTTGACTATTCCTTAAAAGGTTAAACAGATTTACCAAATGACCTAGCGCTTCCACTCCTAGATACAAAGCCAAAGAATCACAAGCAGAGACTCAAGTGGACACTGGGACACCAGTGTCGTTGTTGCCTTATTCACAATAGCACAATAGACAAAAGGTGGGACACAGCCAAAGTCCCCATCAGCAGGTACATGGATCAACAGAATATGGTCTATGCCTACAAGGAGGGGCAACTCAGCCCCAGAAAGCAACGGTATTCTGATGCATGCCACAACCCAGATGAGCCTTGGAAACACTATGCTAAGTGAAATAAGCCAGGCACCAAAGGACAAATGCCGTATGATCTCACTTACATGAAATATCTAGCATAGGGGAATTCCGAGAGACAGACAGTAGGTTACAGGTGCAGGGTCTGGGGCAGGGGACAGGAAGCCAGTCTTCACCAGGGATAGAGTTTCTATGTGGCCTAAGGAAAATTTTCCGGAAATAGATGGTAATGTTGGTCACATAACATTATAGATATAATTAATACCATTGAACTGTGAACCCAGATGATTAAAATGGTAAATTTTATGTTATGTACATTTTGCCACTATCACACGAATGTCTCAGCTCCTCAGTCTAGAATTCCAGGCGTTCCTGTGTGTTCCCTAACTGCTGCCCGTTGTCCACTCCTATCCCTCCCTCTCCCATTGGCCCCAGGTCATCCAAACGCTCAGCTGCCACCTGTCGAGCCCCCATTCCCTATCCTGCATCTCTGTCTCCTCAGCTGAGCCAGCGTGTCCTCCCGGAACCCAGCTTCCTTCCTTCCTGCTGGAGTCTCTCCTTCCTCAGCACGGCTGCTTTAACTGACTCCTCCTCTTACCTGCCCACCTGGATTCACCTCTGTGTCAACAGAGTTCAGCGCCATGGACAGCACACAGCACGTGTTTCACAACCTTGAGCGAATGAATTGGCGAAGAGAGAACAGAAATAAGCACCCAAGGTCACAGTTCCCAATCCCTGCTCCAAGGCACTCTCAGGTACAAGGATGACACAGGAAATGGAAACTTGGCTCAATTGTGGCTGATTACATGCAGTTTAACTGCAATAGTTGACTTTGTGTTTTTAGAAGGTCTATCCCTACGCACTGCTGAGCTTTTGCAATCTGGACCCTACAGCCATCAATAGCCCAAAGCATGTCTTTCCCAGGTCATTAACCAAAATGTAGGATTCCACCATTCCACACGGTGGGCCCTGCACCTTCTATGGATATTTCCTCCCATCCCGTTTCTTTGGCTACAATGTCCACGCAGATGATTTTCAAATCACAAAGTCTGGCCTGAATCCCTCCAAGTTATAGATTTGTCTCCTGAGAGGTCTCCTCTTCAGTCACTCCTGACTCCCGGAATCCCAGCTCTGAGTCTGGCCTTGGTGTCCCATGCACGAATGGCACTATCGTTTTCCCAGTCACTGAAGCCAAAACTTCCACAAATCCACCTTTGAACAGTTGCCAAGTCCTAGAGGTTGCAGACAGACATCTCCCCTTAGCAGCTCCATGGTTCTGCGTGCCTCACTCCCAGCCCCTCTCTCACTCCTCTTTCTTACCACAGCTGTGATGTGGAACACAGAATGGCAAACCCAAGGAAACCGCAAACTTCCTCCCAAAGGACTGAGTGTCCAAGACTGCAAATGTTTCCCTTCTTTCACTTAGGCAGGCCATGTGACAAAACTGTTACATCTCAAAATATCCTAATCCTTCCTTAAAACTGCATGCAAGAGAAAGGACTGGCACATGTGCCTGAAAACAATGGGTCATTTTGGGTGGATAGCCATGCTTCACACCTAGTTTCCACCAATCCAACCCCTTCCTGACGCTCAGAGGGCAGTTCTCATTTCAAAGTAGGATCACCCTTTACCTGATAATGAGAAATTACTCCATCATTACAGGCAGGTGCAAAACCTGCCCACACAGTGATAATCAGCAAGCACTTTTTTCTCAAATTTCACAAGTTGATTACAATACCATGTCTCCTGTCTCTCCAGTTACAGGTCAGGGATGTGAGGCTGGGAACAAGATCACTGTGTCACTTTGGTGGCAGCACATTTTTAGAAAAAGGATAAAATCACAGACTATTATGTCTGCTGTTAGGTTCAACTACTCAATTTCTCCCTTGTGGGGTGGATATCCACTGAGATTCCCATCAGTCTTAGCATCTATTTTCCCACTCCTTCGGATGTCAGTATATTTAAAGCTGTAATCTCCATTTGCTTACTGTTTTTATTAGTTTGTCATTATAATCCCATCAGAAGAGATGCTAGGTGCCATTATGTTCCTTTGTGAAGTCAGTGTGATTGCTTTTGAAGAATCTTAACAATGTTGAGCTCACCTGGATTCAAGAACTGCACTCGCCATCCCCCACCCCCAATTTAGAATTCTTAATGACAAGGGCTAGCATTCGGACTGCATGCTCCTGAACACTCCTGCGGAGAATGAAGTGTGGGAACAAGCTGGGGAGTGACCCAAGCTTCCTAACAGGGTCTCTCACCAATCTTGCTGATCTACCAGCAAACCCTAAACTCGTTGCCAGCAGAGAAAGATTACGGAGTTATTTTTGCAATAATATGTCATACATTTTTGGCTATGAGTATTTGGGATCAGCATTATTTTTAACTGGGAATGTGTAAAGAAACCTGGTTTTGTCAAGCTTATCAAAAGGTAAGCTGTTTGAAAAGTCTTCATTCACTTCTGGGGAAAATCCCACCATTGAAATGCCTTACCAGATGATATACACATGCCCGCGTGGCAAAGACCAGAACTCAGCCCCTCAGTGAATCCCCGACGCCCTCCCCACAACACCAAAGACCAGAACCCACCCTCTCACTGCATCCCCGACGCCCTCCCCACGTCACCAAAGACCAGAACCCAGCCCCTCACTGCATCCCCGACGCCCTCCCCACAACACCAAAGACCAGAACCCACCCTCTCACTGCATCCCCGACGCCCTCCCCACGTCACCAAAGACCAGAACCCAGCACCTCACTGCATCCCCGACGCCCTCCCCACAACACCAAAGACCAGAACCCAGCCCCTCACTGCATCCCCGACGCCCTCCCCACAACACCAAAGACCAGAACCCAGCCCCTCACTGCATCCCCGACGCCCTCCCCACAACACCAAAGACCAGAACCCAGCTCCTCACTGCATCCCCGACGCCCTCCCCACAACACCAAAGACCAGAACCCACCCTCTCACTGCATCCCCGACGCCCTCCCCACAACACCAAAGACCAGAACCCAGCACCTCACTGCATCCCCGACGCCCTCCCCACAACACCAAAGACCAGAACCCAGCCCCTCACTGCATCCCCGACGCCCTCCCCACAACACCAAAGACCAGAACCCAGCCCCTCACTGCATCCCCGACGCCCTCCCCACAACACCAAAGACCAGAACCCACCCTCTCACTGCATCCCCGACGCCCTCCCCACAACACCAAAGACCAGAACCCAGCCCCTCACTGCATCCCCGACGCCCTCCCCACAACACCAAAGACCAGAACCCAGCCCCTCACTGCATCCCCGACGCCCTCCCCACAACACCAAAGACCAGAACCCAGCCCCTCACTGCATCCCCGACGCCCTCCCCACAACACCAAAGACCAGAACCCAGCACCTCACTGCATCCCCGACGCCCTCCCCACAACACCAAAGACCAGAACCCAGCCCCTCACTGCATCCCCGACGCCCTCCCCACATTACTAAAATTCTATGAACTCTCTTAAAAAACAGTCTATAACAGGGAAAATGTTCTAATTATATTTCACAAAGAAGGACAGTTTTATAGAGTTTACTAAGTATAAATTAAAATATGGATCCTGTTAAAACTCATTGAAAAAGTTCGCAAGGAGGCATGAGTTCAAAAATAAGTACCCAAAACTAACTGGCAATAATTTGAAGCAGCAGCTTTGAATATACCTTACTGGAGAAAGATATTTTGCTATATCAGAAAGTGTCACACATCACAGGGGTCAGAAACCTAGTTTTGACCTCACATTGCCATGTGCCCTCCATGGAAACTAATCCACTCATTTGCACATAAAATTGTTTACCTGCCTGACCAAAGGCATGTGTCCACCTCAGCTGTCAGAAGAACATGGGAGGTGCTCTTCAGGGAGACAGACTTCAAGAGAAGGAATGATTTCATTTTCTCATTGCCTTTAGACCAACCAGGTACAGACAGAGGCAAGGAGTGGGTCTCTGCCCACTGTAGGGCTGGTCTACAGAAACATTTGCAACATTTCAGGAGGGGAGGCAAGAGGAGGAAAGTGAGAGAGGTGAAGAAATGCAAGAAGCTGACCTCTTATCTTGGCTGAGTACCATTTTTGGATAAGCAGACAAGTCATAAATCCTGGCTACCAATCCATGTATTTTATTAGGTAAGTGTTTTGTAAATATTTTCTCCCAGTCTGTAGCTTGTCATTTCATTCTCTGAACATGGTCTTCACAAAGAAGTTTTTAACTTTAATGCAAGTTCAACTTATCAATTATTTCTTTCATGAACAGTGCTTTTGGTACTATATCTAAAATGTCATCACTAAATCTACAGTTACCTAGGTATTTTATGCTATCTTCTATAAGTTTTACAGTTTTGCATTTTATATATAGGTCTAAAATCTATTTTCAGTTATGTTTTTTATAAGTCAAAGGTTTACGTCTACATCCATTTTTTCTTGCATGTAGATGTCCAGTTGTTCCAGCACCGTTTTTGAAAAAGCCATCTTTTCTACACTGAATTGCTCCTTTGTCAAAGATTGGTTGGCCCTATTTGCACTGAGTCTATTTTCTGTTTTTTGTTTTTTTGAGACAGAGTCTTGCTCTGTCGCCCAGGCTGGAGAGCAGTGGCGCAATCTCGCCTCACTGCAAGCTCCACCTCCCGGGTTCACGCCATTCGCCTGCCTCAGCCTCCCAAGTAGCTGGGACTACAGGCACCTGCCACCACGCCCAGCTAATTTTTTTGTATTTTTAGTAGACATGGGGTTTTACCATGTTGGCCAGGATGGTCTCGATCTCCTGACCTTGTGATCCGCCCGCCTCGATCTCCCAAAGTGCTAGGATTACACGCTTGAACCATCACGCCCGGCCTGCACTGAGTCTATTTTCTGGGCTTTCCATTGTGTTCTATTGGCCGATTTTTTGACCAATACAACACTGTCTTCATTACAGTACCTTTCTAATAAGTCTCGAAGTCATCCCTCCAACTTTGTACTTATTATCGTGAAAATGTTATGTCTTTTATAAGAGTTTTGTAGCTTTCTTCATACAGATCTTATGCATGCTTTCTTGGATTTATACCTAAGTATTTCTTTATTTTTGGTGTTAATTTTATCTTGTGTCTTCCATTTTGAATTCCAATTTTTTATTGCTGGTGTATAGGAAAATAACTGACTTCTGTATAATAACCTTGTATCTTGCAACCTTGCTATAATTGTTTATTGGTTTCAGGGTAATTTTTGTTGATTCTTTGGATTTTTTCCACAGACAACGTCATCTGTGAAATAGGTTTATTTCTCCCGTCTTGGTCTGTACAGCTTTTATTTCCTTTTCCTGTCTCATTGCATTTGCTCAAACTTCCAACATGGTAAGAGTGTTTTGCTTCTGATATGAGGGGAAATTGTCCAGTTTCTCACCATGAAGTATGAGTTTAGCTACAGGGTTTTTTGTAAATATTCCTTATCAAGTTGAGGAAGTTCCCCCTGTATTCTTATTTTGTAGAGAGTTTTATTATGAATGGGTGCTGGGTTTTGGCAAATGCTTTTGCTGTACTATAGACATGATGTAATTTTTTCTTCCTTAGCCTGTGAATGATTACAATTTTCAGATGTTGAGCCAGCCTTGCATACCTGGATAAATCCAGCTTGGTCATGGTGTAAAATTATTTTTATACGTTGTTAGATTTGATTCCCTCATACTTTGCTGAGGATCTCCACATCTATGTTTATGAGAAATACTGGTCTGCAGTGATCCTTTCTTTAAATGTCTTTTTCTGGTTTTGATTTGAGGGGAATGCTAAATAATTTTATAGAATTATTTAGCATTTATTCCCTCTATTTCTGTCTTCTGGAATAGGTTGTGGAGTACTGAAATAATTATCTTCCTTAAATATTTGATAGAATTCACCAATGAACCCATGCGGGCTTGGTGCTTACTGTTTTGGAAAGTTATTAGTTATTTGTTAAATTTCTTTAATAGATATAGGCCTGTTCAGATTGTCTATTCCTTCTTGTGTGAGTTTTGACAGGTTTGTTTTTCAAACAACTTGTCCATTTCATGCAGGTTATCAAATTCTTGGACACAGAGTTATTCATAGTATTCTTTTATTATCTTTTTAATGTTCCTGGAATCAGGACTGATGGCCCTTCTTTCATTTCTGATTTCGGTAATTTGGATCTTCTCTCCCTTTTTTCTTCATTAGCCTGGTCAGAGGTTCGTCAAGTGTTTTGATCTTTTCAAAGAACAAGCTCTTGGCTTAAGTTTCTATACCAATATCTTATTTTCAGTTTCATTGATTTCTTTTCTCATTCATAGTATTTCTTTTCTTCTGCTTATTTTGGATTTAATTTGCTCTTCTCTAGTTTTTTAAAGAAGAAGTTTAGATGATTGATTTTGGATCTTACTCCATTTCTAAATATGTATTCAATGGTAAATACATTTCCTTTTAATCTGGCCTTTTTGGTATCTCAAAAATTTTGATAAGTTGAATTTTCATTTTTACTTAGTTTGAAATATTTTAAAATTTATCTTGAGACTTCTTCTTTGACGAATGTGTTATTTAGAAGTATGTTGTTTAGTATCTATATATTTTGGAAACTTCTGGCTATCTTTCTGTTACTAATTTCTAGTTTAATTCCACTATGGTCTAAGAGCAGACTTTGTGTTACTTCTAGTCTTTTAAATTTTTAAGGTGTGTTTTATAGCCCAGAATATATTCTATCTTGATGAATATTCCATATAAGCTTGAGAGGAATGTGTTTCTGCTGTTTTGGATGAAGTCATCTATAGACAGAATTCTGGGTTGGTGTTTTACTTATTTCTTTCAACACTTTAAATATTTGAATCAACTTTTTTCCTGCTTGCATGGTTTACAAAGAGTAGACTTAAGTAATTCTTATCCTTACCCCTCTGTACGTGAGCCATTTTATTTCTGTAGCTTCTTTCAAGATTTCATTTTCATCTTTGATTTTCTATAGTTTGAATATGAAATGCTTAGTTGTGGATTTTTAATATATATCTTGCTGGTTCTTTTAGCTTCCTGGATATGGTTTGGTGTCTTACCATTAGTTCCGAAAAATTCTCATCAACTTTTACTACAAATATTTCTTCTTTTCTTTTCTTTCTTTCTTCTCTTTCTGGTATTACCATTCCACATATGTTACTTCTTTTGTATTTCTCCTACAGTTCTTCAATATTCTGTTCCATTTTTAAAAAAATCTTTTCTGGCGACCGAGTGGCCCGGTCTGCGCGCGCAGCTTGCGCCCAGCGCTCTCCAGCCGGGGTGGCGGCGGTGGCGGTGGCGGCGGTGGCGGAGGAGGGGAAGAGGCCTGGCCCCGTGGTCGCAGCCGCCACCGCCCGCCCCGACCTCCCGGACCGCCGCGGGGCCACGGGCCCGAGCCCCGGATTCGCGCTCCGGATTCGCCTCCGCTCAGCCGCGCGTATATTTGCCTTCCCTCCATGATCTCCAACACTATCCGATAAAGTAGAAGCAACTGAGGTACCGTGAAAGAGAAAGGAGCTGGAACTGAGAAAAAGCAGAGGCTGGAGTGCAGTGGCGTGATCTCGGCTCACTACAACCTCCACCTCCCAGCCGCCTGCCTTGGCCTCCCAAAGTGCCGAGATTGCAGCCTCTGCCCAGCTGCCACCCCATCTGGAAAGAAGTGAGGAGCATCTCTGCCCGGCCGCCCATCGTCTGAGATGTGGGGTGCGCCTCCTGCCCCACCACCCCGTCTGGGATGTGAGGAGCGCCTCTGCCCGGCCGTGACCCCGTCTGGGAGGTGAGGAGCGTCTCTGCCCGGCCGCCCCGTCTGAGAAGTGAGGAGCCCCTCCGCCCGGCAGCCACCCCGTCTGGGAAGTGAGGAGCGTCTCCGCCCGGCAGCCGCCCTGTCTGGGAGGTGGGGGGACAGCCCCCGCCCGGCCAGCTGCCCCGTCCGGGAGGGAGGTGGGGGGACAGCCTCCGCCCGGCCAGCCGCCCCGTCTGGGAGGGAGGTGGGGGTCGCCTCTGCCCGGCCGCCCCTTCTGGGAAGTGAGGAGCCCCTCTGCCCTGCCGCCACCCCATCTGGGAGGTGTACCCAACAGCTCATTGAGAACGGGCCATGATGACGATGGCGGTTTTGTCGAATAGAAAAGGGGGAAATGTGGTGAAAAGATAGAGAAATCAGATTGATGCTGTGTCTGTGTAGAAAGAAGTAGACATAGGGGACTCCATTTTGTTCTGTACTAAGGAAAATTCTTCTGCCTTGGAATGCTGTTATCTATGACCTTACCCCCAACACGGTGGTCTCTGAAACATCTGCTGTGTCCACTCAGGGTTAAATGGATTAAGGGCGGTGCAAGATGTGCTTTGTTAAACAGATGCTTGAAGGCAGCATGCTCGTTAAGAGTCATCACCACTCCCTAATCTCAAGTACCCAGGGACACAAACACCGCGGAAGGCCGCAGGGTCCTCTGCCTAGGAAAACCAGAGATCTTTGTTCACTTGTTTATCTGCTGATCTTTCCTCCACTATTGTCCTATGACCCTGCCAAATCCCCCTCTGCGAGAAACACACAAGAATGATAAATAAATAAATAAATAAATAAATAAGAAAAAAATACAAAAAAAAATATTTTCTACCTTTGCTTTTCAGTTTGGAAGTTCCTTAAGCTCACTGATTTTTACCTGGCCTATGCCCAGTCTAATGATTAGACCATCAAAAGCATTTGTCATTTCTGTCACAGTGTTTTTTATGCCCAGCTATGTTTTTTATCTTTGATTTTCTTAGAGTTTCCATCTCTTTGCTTATATCACTCATCTGTTCTTGTCAGTGTCCACTTTTTTTCCATTAGAACCCTTAGCACTATCTGTTGATAATTTCAGTCTCTGCTATATCTAGGTCTTATTTTGGTGCTTGCTTTGTGTCTTCAGATTATCTTTCATTTCTTCCTTTCCGCATGCCTTGTAGGTTTTTCGTTGCATGATGGATATAGTGAAGCAGGTAAAAGTGCACTAAGATAAATGAAACTTTAGGGTGAGATTTATGTCTGTCCATCTAGGAGTCAGGCTGTGTTTATGTCTGCTATAGATGTAGGTTTAAGAGGTTAAAATGTCCTGTGTTGTCCTTGTTTTTGTCTCTCCTGTTACAACTTTTGGTTTCCCCAAGATGACTTCTTAAATAGGACCTGAATCTAGCAATGACCCCTTTCAGCTCTAGTTCCATGTTATTATACAGGAGCCCTACTGATGTGGTGGAAAGTTGTTGAAGGAAAAGAGCCACCGAACAATGCTATGATTGGGTCTCAGTTCTATAATAAGCCTGTACCCCTGGGCTGCAACCATCACAAGTGCTTCTTAGCTTTCTTCCCCCTGTGTAAGGAAGGAAGACAATGGGGCTGGAATTGAGAATTCCCCTTCACTCTCATTGCTTAGGATCCCATAAAACCCAAGTCTGTGAGGCTTGAAAAACAGATTTCTATTGAGGGCAGGCCTTGCTCAGAATACAATCCTCTGAGAGTACTCCATGATGATGACTTTTCCCTATTCCTGGCAGAAGTATGCGGGTATTTTTCTATGATCTTCACCTGAGCAACCTGGTGTGGCTCCTAGAAATAAAACTCACACAAGTAGAATGGGCTCTCCAGAGTCTTCTCTCTCAAGCAAGTCCATGCTTAGAATCCAGCACTTTGACAATGTGGTTTCAGTGCTCCCAGTGGGTGCTGACTCCAGCTGGGGCTGCTTCTCCCAGTGGTGGTAACAAGCTGTGATTCCTGCATCCATCTGCTGGTTGCTCCAATTTTGGGGAGGAACACGTGCCCTGTGACCTCAATTTACCCAGGGATCTAAGAAAAGTTGTCAATTTTCAGCGAGTTCAGCACTTCTCTTGTGAGGAGGATAACAGTGGTGACTTCCAATGCCCTTATGTGTCAGAGCAGAAACCCTCTGTCCACTTTTCAGTTGGGTTATTAGTCATTTTATTGTTAAGTTACAAGAGTTCTTTATGAATTCTGGATACATACAGGTATTTGATATGAAAATACTTTCTCCCATCCTCTACGTTGGCTGTTCAGTTTCCGGATGGTGTCCTCGAAACCACAAAAATTACTCATTTTGATAAAGTCCAATTATCTAAATAAGTCCTGAATTTTCATTCATACTCCCAGGTTTTCAAGTTACCATTTAAGATCCTGATCTGAACAGGAGAGCCACACTACTGATGGGCAGACTCTAAGGTTTACGGTTAAACATGGAGGTAAAATTTATTTTCTTCACTTGCATTCTAGCAGAAAATAATGCACATTACTTAAACATTGAAATTTTATATTTTCTTAGAAGTATATAATCGTTAACAAGGTTAAGATAGTCTGGGGTCTGACAATGGAAATTTCATTGCATCTCTTTGGTGTGTTATTAAGGCTAAAATCAAGGTCATAGAATATACTAGAAGCTTTGTGCAGCTCAAGTCTCTATCACCCATTTAGTTGATTAAGGCATTTTTTCCTACACTAAATTTTAAGAGCCATTTGTTAAAATAATTACATGTCTCTAAGGACACAGAACACACATGTTCCCATTTCTCAGACAGTTTAGAAGAAAAAAGCCTTGGTTTGTAAAAACAAACAATATAGTGTTATTCTCAAAATAAGTATTCTTACAAAATCTAATCCCTCATGTTTACATTAGTCCAAAAAACAGGCCTGTTCTATTCCTATTACAGAAGAAATGTATCCAAGTACAGATGGCAAGGGAAAGTCATGATAAGAATTCTGCCATTTGTCCTTAAGCACTGGTGGGCTGATAAACGTTGATCAGCCACCTCTCTGGAGAAAAATGTGTATATGTGTCTTTGTAGGTTTGCTATGTAAAAAATGAGTTGCACACAATTTTTTAAAAATAAAATATATAACATCCTTACTATAAAGTCAACACACCTATAATTTCTTTGTGACTTGGTATTTCTTGCAAACCCACCATCAATTTTTATAACTCTATCAGTAACAATATTGTCACCAAATAAGATGATGAAGAAAAGCTTGATCACTATCTGACTCAGCAAAGAAGCTGCTGGTGTCATTGACAAATGACTGCAGCTCCAAAATGAATGCCGGTGGACATTTTTCTTTAGGTTAATGAGCAGGATAAAAATGAAAAAAATGAAGATATATGTCAGAATTTCACTCATTTGTCAATGGTGTGAACAATTTTTTGCTGAACCATGTCAGAATTTCACTCATTTGTCAATGGTGTGAACAATTTTTTGCTGAATCAGATAATAGTTTTGAATATTAAAAGAACATAACCTCAAATGTTTATGCTATTGACAATATAATGGCCACAGATGTAATACACTTCTAGGTTTAATCTGTACTAATAACATATTCCCCATCACTTTAAGTCTACACGATCACCAAAACAATAAATCAGAGTCTGATGCAAAATATCTGCTGATTCCCACTGTGTAAATTCTCCCACCAGGCTCCCTCCAAGCCACCCTTATGACATCACTGAACAGGGAGCTGAGGGGAGGTTTGCAGCAGCATAGCATGAACTGCACCTCCCTGCAGACAAGAGAGAAATAAGGAACTTTTAGAGCACCCACAAAGTACCTAGGACACAACAGGTTTTGAATATGTATTATCTTTGTTGGTAATATAATTATTTAAGTTTATATCTTTTTTTTTTTTCTAACTGGCACACAAGATTCCTAAAAACTTAACAGTTGGTTCTTGCAAGCCAGTACGAGCTGCTCCAGCACACTGGGTTTGCTGGGCTACAAACCTGCACTGGTTTGTGTATTCGTCAGGAGTCTCCAGAGAAACTAATAGGCTGTGCACGTGTAGAGAGAAGGAGATTTCAAGGGATTGGCTCACTCGCGCATGGAGGGTGACGAGTCCCAAGATCTGCAGAGTGTGTCGGCCAGCGGGAGGCCCAGGGAGCCAACTGTGAAGTTCCAGTCTGAAGCCTGCAGGCTGGAGACCCAGGAAGAGCTGACATCGGAGGCCATGAAGCAGGAATTCTCTCAGACTTGGTGGAAGGTGTCCTTCATTCTAGTCAGGTCTTTGAGGGGATTGCGTGAGCCCATCCCCCCTGGGGAGAGGTCTGCTTCACTGAGGCAAAAAATTATCATGAGACTCTCATCCAGAAATGCCTCCAGGCATCCCCAGAAGAACATCTGACTGATGCCTGGGAACCCCATGGCCCACACGAGCTGAGCCACAGATGAACCCACACACTATGCAGCAAGTCCTCAATGTCCTTGATTGGTTCGCGGGAACTGTGACTTTAGGTGAAACAACTTACAGCAAATCCCACCATAATGTCTTTTAGTTCAACTTTGATTCCTTACAAGGTGGATGAGGAAAAAACATCGGTTTCATTATACGTGGATCCATTATACGTGGATCCACTGCGACTCATTATACGTGGAGTCGCAGCTTCCAGGAACCCTACTGAAGACGTGAGGTGAGGACATACCATGCTGCTGAAAGCCTGTCACTCGCTGACACAGGTGCTGCCCAGTGCATGTATAAGGGCTTTCTTTCTTTCGTCCCTGTATGTTACAAAAACTTAAACAGAGTGGAAATAAAGGTGGTCAAGTCTGCCCAGCCCTCCCAACTGAGGATGCACTCATGGCGCTGGCTTGGGGCTTGGCCGCCACCAGGGGAGGCTAGTATGGAACAGGAGCCCCACAGGGATCCCAGGGAGCCCCGTCTTCTAGTAGAAGTGCACGAGTGAATGCAAGGACCTGGAGGAATGTGGGCAGGGAGCAGGAGGCACAGGCTCTGGAGTTCCTCCCTGTGGACTTCCTGTGAACACCTCCACACTGATGGAGCCCCCATAAGTCACTTCAGCTCACAGGGGCCATGCTTCCCATTCCTACTGACCATCTGACCATGAAAGGTTCTCAGAGAATTAGGTGGGTCGGTAGCTGAAAGGAATCAGCAAAGCACCAGCTGGGGGGTTGGGGGCAGGGGCCCCACGGGCATAGCTGTCATAATCATCTTCCTTTTACTGCCCACATGTGGCTTGTATTCAGTAAAAGTCAGATATTCCCAAGTTACAACATAAACAGAAGTCACAAATCAGACTCTGCCTGAAGTCACCAAATTAAAATTCAAAACTGAGGGAACACAAAAGGAAAGAAAAATTGGGAAGACAGGTGAATAACAATGTGTGTGCATCTGTGTCAGCATGAGGGCAAATGAGCACGTGTGTGAGTGCATTTGTGTATCAGGAGAGAAGCTACAGACTAAATACAGTGAAGATACTGACGTAAAGAAAAACAACATCATAGTCATCATGAAGAAAACACCTGTTTGTTATACTTTCAGTTCTAGGGAGTTTAAAGTATTTATATATATATATATATATATATATATATATATATATATATATATATATATATATATAGTGGTGTTCAACAAAGAGGTGTATATATATATATATACATATATATATATACACCTCTTTGTTGAACACCACTTTTGGGATCCTTTAAGATTTTATACAGTAGTAAAACAAACCTCTTTCAGCAATAAATGTACATAGGTATTTGTACATTTCTCAGAAATCCACAACCCATCCAAGAAAAAAATCCACAATTTAAGTCAAATTGTGCATTGAAATGTTGAAATAGCCATGCATGTCAAAATTTTGAACTTTTCCTCTTGCTCTGAATTGAATTCTAGGTTTCACATCCTTATCTTTCCATACAACTATTGAACACGAATAAATCTGAAATTCATGAAGGCATCCAAACAATTAAGGGCATCTTAAGCCTCAGCAACAGCTACTTTTTCTTAGAATCAAATGAGTAAGAATAATCTACTCACTCTCAAAACCACAGGCACCCAAAGCCTAAGCGGCACAGAATTCTCAAGTTCATGCCTTATCTGAACCTTCATGTTCGAAAGGGATATGCGCTTAAGCTGGGCTCATTCCCATTTTCTTCAAACTAGAACAAACTTTAGGAAAAACTAACATGGGGAAAGAATCTCACTGTCCATCAGTAAGGAAGTGTTTAAACGTGTACAGTGTATGAGCACATGACACAGGCAGTGAAAGCACGAATGTCAGCGATGGCCCAGCCACCTCTCCAAGGAGCCTGTGCTGGAAAGACATCTGTATAATCAAGAAAGGTAAATACACAAAGAAGTTTATTTCAGCATTCATTTAAAAGAAAAGTAACCCAAATGTCCACATGACACATGTGATGGAGCATCCATATTTGCAATGTCACGCAGCCACTCAAATGCAAGAGACACATCAATGGCCAGTAGATTTATCTGATGTATGTCAAGTGACAAAAGGCACAGTGAAGCACAAAATAAGCTCAGGATCAATTTGTGAGAAAAAGAAGTATATTTTACATACAGACACATTTATTTTACAGGCGTGGAAATAAAGCTGGAAGAAGGTTGACCATCCTAACAACAGTCATTTCTAGCGTAGGAAATGTGAGGAGAGGCAGATGCTCACTCTCAGTCCATTTGCTTCTATGTGTTTGAATAAACCCAGATGTAAAAGACTCCACCAGTAGCAAAAACCGTGAAAGAGGATAAAAGATAACACCCATCACATTTTGTTAGAGGGAAAAAGAAGGTTACAAAGCAGTGTGCATAGCATAAACTAATCATTACCAAAAATACTTATTCATCCATTGTCATTTTTTAAAAAGTTTGAAAATTAAAAACTTTTAAAAAAAAGATATGAAAGCATTCTCAAAGACCAAATGGATATATTTAGAGTTACTAACTCAACTACAGAAAAAGATGTTTGATTCACCCTAAAACTTTCCTGCGGAGTTGGTTTGAAATGGAAGCTTCCTCGATACTTATCTTTTTAAATGATATTTTAAAAAATCATCTTAGTCATGATTTATCAGAAACATGTCATCCGTTTTCTCTTTCTGATCAAGTGTTCAAAGTTACATTCATGAAGCTTCACTCATTCATACCCCAACGTGGACAACTGGTAAACACTTCCTGGGAAAACGCTGCCTGGAACAATCGCTGAAACTCAAATTCCTATGGATTCCCACAACTGGCTCCACTGGTCCAGATGTTACAGCTGCGTTTACTGTGCAAGAAACGAGGATGATGCCCCTGCTCTGGTCTCAGCGCGTGACTGACCTCATCAGGGAGTCTGGCGAGAAGCTGTGATCGTCCCTCAAGAATGGCGCTTGTCCTTGGGAGACCACGGGGGTCACGGCAGAGCTGAGAGTCCCCGTCCTCTACACTGGCTCCAGCCCAGGAGAAGGGTACCTGGCTGCTTGCAGACTCATGGTAGCTGTCCTTGCCACCACGCTCCTCCTCAGGCTCAGGAGCCACATGCGGTGGTGAACAGCGCTGTGTGCATGCGGGGGTCGGGCTCTGGAGCCGCGTGTGTGATGAACAGTGCCGTGTACAGCGCAGGGGTCAGACTCAGGAGCCCTGTGTGGTGAACAGTGCCGTGTGCAGCGCAGGGGTCAGACTCAGGAGCCGTGTGAGGTGAACAGTGCCGTGTGCACGCGGGGGTTGGGCTCAGGAGCCGTGTGAGGTGAACAGTGCCGTGTGCAGTGCGGGGTCAGACTCAGGAGCCCTGTGTGGTGAACAGTGCCGTGTGCAGTGCGGGGCCAGACTCAGGAGCCGTGTGAGGTGAACAGTGCCGTGTGCACGCGGGGGTTGGGCTCAGGAGCCCTGTGTGGTGAACAGTGCCGTGTGCAGCGCAGGGGTCAGACTCAGGAGCCCTGTGTGGTGAACAGTGCCGTGTGCAGTGCGGGGTCAGACTCAGGAGCCCTGTGTGGTGAACAGCGCTGTGTGCATGCGGGGGTCGGGCTCTGGAGCCGCGTGTGTGATGAACAGTGCCGTGTACAGCGCAGGGGTCAGACTCAGGAGCCCTGTGTGGTGAACAGTGCCGTGTGCAGCGCAGGGGTCAGACTCAGGAGCCCTGTGTGGTGAACAGTGCCGTGTGCACGCGGGGGTTGGGCTCAGGAGCCGTGTGAGGTGAACAGTGCCGTGTGCAGTGCGGGGTCAGACTCAGGAGCCCTGTGTGGTGAACAGTGCCGTGTGCAGCGCAGGGGTCAGACTCAGGAGCCCTGTGAGGTGAACAGCGCCGTGTGCATGCGGGGGTCGGGCTCTGGAGCCGCGTGTGTGATGAACACTGCCGTGTGCAGTGCGGGGTCAGACTCAGGAGCTCTGTGTGGTGAACAGTGCCATGTGCAGCGCAGGGGTCAGACTCAGGAGCCATGTGAGGTGAACAGTGCCGTGTGCACGCGGGGGTTGGGCTCAGGAGCCGTGTGTGCGGTGGCGACAGTGCCGTGTGAACGTGGAAGTCGGGCTCAGCGAGCGGGAAGGCAGTACCCCCCGGAGCATGGCCACAGGCGGAGCCAAAGGCCATCGCAAGGCCACCAGGATCCGAGCCTGGCAGCGCTGGAAGGGCTTCCAGTAGAATCTGCACAGAGCAGCAAGAAGTGTGGCCCTCGGGGGAGGGTAGGTGGAGGCGGTGCCCACCCTTGAGAGCAAATGTCCAAAGGCCTGGGCCCCTTGGGTGTGGGCAGAAGCCACACTGGGACCCCTGAAGAAGGACCAGGCCTTGGTGAGGAACATTAGGAGGCCGAGGCCCCAGGATGGGACAGACACTTGCCACGCTCTCTGGCTTCCCGCGTGGGGAACACGGCAGATACCAGCAACATTTCCCAAGGACTCTGTTTACGTTTCAAATAAACAGCTGAACCTGGAGATAGGCACAGCATGTTAGAAATAATTGTTCTTGACTTACGATAGGCTTTGAATAAAAGGCTGGGTCCTCTGCGACTCTGCTCTGTGGGAGAATTGTGTGTCTACACAGAAAGGTCTTCAACGCAGGACAGCAAGTGACAACTGCGTCGCAGCAGAGTCCACGACAGTACAGCGCCACCAGGGCTGCGTGCATAAAAACATGCGGGAATAGCCCTCTGTGAAGCACTTTTTCATTACTGGTTTATAAACAGAGAGTCCACCTAGACACAGGACTATCATGCTTCAAATTAAGGTGAATCCCTGAAGACGTCAGATAGGTTCAAAAATTTGGGGTTTAAAAACAGCTTTATGTCTCCCTGAATGTATCACGACATAGAATACAAGGGAAGCATGCATTTTATTTTACATAAGACTTGAATTTGTTTTCTCGTGGGAAGCATAAACTTCCTAAAGTTTTCCATATAGTTTTATCAGTTATCGTTTCCAAATAATGTTTGAGATTATAAAAATATACACATTTGGGTCGACTAAGTTGAATTTTAATAAGTGATCTCTAGAGGATAAAAAAAGAGTCAGTTCTTTCGAACTTCAGGCAATGCTGCAAGCCACCTGGACTTGGCTTTACACTTGTATTAATTGCACAAAAATTTTAAATGTCATCCCGCTGTCAAATTTTTCATGTTAACTGTGATGGTGCTGGGTCTTTTATGTAATGTTTAATGGAATTCCTACTGTTCATAAATGACATTAGGATCTTGAAATAATATTGAGTTAATAAATGAGAAATCTTTGGTTACCCAGACAATATTAAATTAATTAAAATTCACCGAGGCAGAGCAAGAGTAGGTCCTGGGGGTCACCAACCACAGTTTTTACTGTCTCAATTTCCTTTTTGTAAAGTTCCAATTAAGATGATAAAATTAATGTGATTATTCCTTGCTTACGTTGTGTTGAGAGGAATTACATTTAACGCTTACTTTAATAGTCATCCATATGAATATTTTACATACATAAAAGTTATATTAAAATTAATAAGCAAAAATGCATATATGTACCATATACATAGAGAAGACTGGTAATTAAATAAGAAAAGGCAGTAAAAGGTTATTCTTTATCTTTTGTGTAATCTGCCCAGGGAGCTCACATTCCAAAATACGTCCACTCCAAAGCTGCTAACTTTTGTTTCTCCCTCACATCTGAGAGCTGACTTGCCTTACGTAGGGTGCCTTCTGAAATACTCATTTTCAAACACTGTTTCCAAATGGGGTCGTGGGGTGGCGAAGCTACATCCACCTCTGCTCCCTGCAGGCAAGGTCCTATGAGACCAGTGGCCATCTCCTTCCTGGGTGTGGACTCTCCTTCGACACAAGAAGCTCCGAGGGGTGACCGCTGTTGCTGCTTTTCATGCTGATGTCACTGGTGCTTTCCTGGATGGCGCCCGCACCGAAGCCCACACAGTCCCGGATGAGAGGGGCACAGCAGCCAGCATGGCTGTGCGAGGGCTGCCCATTCCCACACTTTTCCCATCAGAGGACCCCGAACCTAAGACCTGCCTCCTGACCATGGGAATGGGCTGCTGCAGTCGGTACCTCAGCATGGAGGGAGGCACGGTCACAAAGCCTGGCATGAAAGCCACCCACAGATGGATCCTACGAAGGCCATCAGGGTTTCCAAGGCTCTTGTCACCTGAGGGCCACAGCAAAGTGTCCTGCGCCTGGGTGCTGAGGGCCATGCTCCCTGCCGTGACCACCCCTGCCGCTACGGCCACCCCTGTGGAGTCATAGCACATCATGTCTCCAGGGAGGGTTCCACTCTGCTCCATCTGATGTCGTTGTTGCCGGGAATACCAAGCGGAGCCTCTCCATTTTGTCACAGGGTTGGTTTCCCACTCCCCTCTCGGAGGGCGGGGGCCTCTGCTGGAGCAGGTGACCTCAAAAGGAGTCTCTGGGAGCACAGGTCAGGCCAGGGCCCATGTGAGCAGCCCCAGGAGGCTCCCTCAAGGCGCCCACCCCAGCATGGACTCCCAGCAGCGCCCCACGGCCACAGTGCAAGGACGGGTCAGCAACTCCTGGACACTGACTCCAAAGGCAAGCGACTTGCACTGGCAGCTGCTGACCCAAGATCAGGCAGAACAAAAGTTAATTATGGAGACCGGATGGCACTGATGAGGGTAATTTAATTGTATTCAGTGTTCTGCTTTCTAGGGCCAGGGGAAGAAGCCCCTCTCCTTACTTCGCCATCTGTTTTTAGCTGTAATTTTACTACTTGAGATGGGAGACCCTTTCACTGGTATCTTGTTCCAACTAATTCCTCAGAATTTGGTAAAAATGTGCTATGGAAAATATAATGCAAATTATAAGAAAATGAGCCATCCAAACACAAGTATGATGACGACTATGATAATTACAATTCAGAGAAATGCTTTTACAAATGCTAAGCTTAGAAATCTCATTAATGATTACACTTAAATTATATTCATTCTAACTACTATAGCCTGAAACCAATCAAATCTCTGTGTGGATGGCCACACTGGTGGCGTCCATGATGACGCTGGAGAAAATAATCCACATATTGATCGGCCTTGCCAGCAAAGCCACTCCACATGGTGATCAAAAGGTCTATGAAGACTTCCCGAGTCCAGTACTCATCATGACAGTTTAGTTACTTTTACAGTTTCAATAAGAACCTGCCCTTATTTCTACCAGAGAAGAAAACAAAAAATTTACACAAACGTATAACTTTAACAATGTCAGAATGTCGGGATAAATTTCTTTCATATCTCCCATAATTTTCACATAGTTATGTTTTAATTAAAAGAAAATAAAAATACTAGTATGTTACTTTGAAAATGTATTAATTCTAATTTCTTAATAATCAGAAATACTTGTGTATAAATTTAAGGAAAATATCATTCAATGAAATGACAGGTCCCACTGTTGCACAGCCAGGACAGCTCCCCCTATATAGAAATGATATTCAGAAAGCCCTCCTTAGAAACAGAACTGGTGTCTACATTTTGGCTTAAGTACACACCTTAAAGAAAGAAAAGAATGTCACTTCTGCAAGCCAGAACCTCGGCAAACAGGGACTTCTAGAAAGAAGCATACACCCTCTGTTACAGGTGAAATATGCAAAATTGTGTGGAGTCAAACTGGACGGTTCTTGGATCCAAGCCTGAAAATAAATGAGCTGATGATGGAACTCATTTTCCTGAGCACACAGTTCTGGAATGACTGAAGGGGTCAAAATAAGACATCAGGAACTTTACAAAGCCACATGATAGAAGTCAGTGGCCTTGATATTGTATGGCCCCAGCTTTCGCAGACCACATATGAAGAAGTATGTACACTAACCAAGACCTTTTAATGCATCTATGTGCACAGATCAGGCAAGCCTAATGGAATATGTACAACGTCTAAGTATCGTTCACAGGCAACATGAGAGAGCCACCACTGAATTGGTGTCAACATGGGGGTCTGTGCAGAATCCCTTCTCCAAATTAGAAAATTGATGAAAAAGAATATCAATGGCAGCACAATTACTTTTTGGAATCATAACTGTATAAATGGCATACAGACAGTTCCAGACTTATGATGGTTCAACTTACAATTTTTGAGTTTACAATCAGTTTATTGGGACATAACCCCATCGTAAGTCAAGAAGCATTTGGACTTATAATGGTTCAACTTATGATGTTTCAACTTTACCATGGGCTTATCAGAGTATTAAATGCATTTCAACTTACAATACTTTCAACTTACAATAGGTTTATCGGGCTATAACTCCATCATAAGTCGAGGAGCATCTGTAAATTAAATGTATGTCCAATTTCCAGTATCTATCAGATAAGTAAATACCAGCTGACTAAACAACAAATTCAATTAACGGTCTTTGTATGAACACAAGTGAGAGTAGCCTTTTATGATAAAGAATAATCATTAGGGAGATTTACGATCACAGAAGATACAATTCAGGGCCGGGAGTGGTGGCCCATGCTTGTAATCCCAGCACTTTGGGAGGCCAAGGCAGACGGATTGCCTGTGGTCAGGAGGAGTTCAAGACCACCCTGGCCAATGTGGTGAAACTCCGTCTCTACTAAAAATACAAACAGCTGGCGTGGTGGTGCCTGCCTGTAATCCCAGCTACTCTGGAGGCTGAGGCACGAGAATCGATTGAAGCCAGGAGGTGGAGGTTGCAGTGAGCCAAGATTGTGCCACTTCACTCCAGCATGGACGACAGCGTGAGAGTGTCTCGGGAAAAAAAAAAAAAAAGATATACTTCAGGAATAATTGCCCAAAACTTGGAAATAAATTTTTAAAGATGACTATATGCACTTCTAACAGCATGTAAGAACCCATATGAGGGGAACTGGGCCATCTTTGGAAACATAACCGTGACTAACAAATTATTAACATTTAAAACCTTTTAAACTTAGAGCCTAACTAGAAAACTTAAGGGTTGAAGATTTTATTACTTTCTAACAGAGAGGATAATCCTCAAACATCAGTTTATTGCCCTGTAGAACAATACTCAGTTTTATACCTAGCATAACTATCTTTTTTCAGTATTCCTTTCCTCACTATGTAAATCCTTTTTGAGACAGCTGTTCACTCAATTTGCCTCATCAATAAGTTAAATAAAACTCATTTTATATGAGCATGAAAATCATTGTTTTTAATGACTTGAGAATGTTTCTTATAAATGAGAATATAGTCATATTCTCTCCTCTTTAGTTTAAAATAAAAGTGAATGTCAGATGGACAAGCTATTTGCCCTTGAGCCAATCAGACCTTGCATCTCTCACAGAGACCTCTCACACCCATGATGAATTAACTCTCACAATGTCACATGACTGGCAACCAGTAACAGTTTCCCAGAAGACCACACTCAAGTTCAATGGAATGAAGAGTGTTGCCCAGTGGACTCACATCCCAGTGAGGAAGCAAGCCTTGTGACGACGGGCACAGAGCTTTCTGTTGCACAAGGCTGCCCTGGACACAGAAGACAGCACCATCTTCAAGCTCTTCAAGACCACATTCTAAGCCAGCATGAGCCAGGGCATTCTCAGAGCTAAGGCTGTGGGAAAATCGTGACTGCAGTGGCGTTTCTCACAGGACAGGGCCGTTTCTCTGAGGGACCCAGCCCTGCCTGGCTCATCCGTGACAGTGGAGCAGACATCAATTATTCTGTCATGTGTGCCACACAAATGCACTTGAGACCTCCTTCCCCAAAACATTAGAGCCACAACACCAGCTGCTGCACTTACACAACTCTTCTTTCCTCTGAAACACTCACTCTTTTACATGTCTTTTGGAGACGTATAAGCAAGTTTATTAAAAAATTAGGAAATATATTTTTATCCAACTACCCTGACACAATACATATTATCACTTTATTACTGTTAGCTTTTAGTCATATGCAAGCACCCTCTACATAGCCATAATTAAAATTATGTGGATATTATCATAGCATGCCCTTCTCACTGAATTTGGATTGTATCCGTGGAAAGACATTTTGTTGCTGCATAATCTTCAGCATCAATGCTTCAAAAGCCCACACACCAAAACATCTAAATTTTCTTTAATAAAATCATATCAAGCCACCTTATGTTCTCATTGCATAGTTTGTATGTATAAGATTTCCGAGCAACTGTCTCCTGTCCCATCATCAAATCTTTTCCTGTAGATCCTGCTCCCATTCTAAGTCTCACAATATGCCCTTTCCATTTCAATACCTTGGTTCAATAGTTGAAGACTTGGTTCAACTAAACTACTGAAACTCTTCTAACCTTTGGTATGCTAGATACAGAAATATGCCCTAAATACAACACAGAAGCACGAGGCTTCCATTTGCATGGCTTGATTTTTCTTGGGTCTTTCCCATCATTAACATCCCCGGGAAAAGTTTTTTTTTTTTTTTTTTTTTTGGAGGTCTAGTTTAATTTCCAATAACTAATGGCATTACAATCACTGGAATGCCTGCAAAACACTATTCCAGAAAGATGTCTGAATGAGCCGCTTCCATCTCTCATCCCCACAGAAACAATGAAAACCAGAATCACCATATGACCCTGCAATTCCACTTGTAGGTCATTCCCGAGGGAGATGAGCAACGGAGGGGAAGACTGGGACCTGCACGCATACTCATGCCCCAGTGTCCACTGTTGACTATTCACAACAGCCAAAGGCAGAAATGGCCCAAATGCCCATCAATAGATGAATGGATCGACAAAACATGGCGGCGGTGGGGGGGTGTCCACACAATGGATTACTGTTCAGACATATAAAGGAATGCAGTTCTGACACAGGCCACCACATAAATGAATCTTGAAAACATCATGCTAACTGAAATAAGCCAGATCAACATTATAAATATTGTATAACTCCGCTTTTGAGAAACATCTAGAATGGTCAGATTTATAGACACAGAAAGAATGAACAGAGGCTGCCAGGGGCTGGGGGTGGGTTAGCGAGGGCTGCTGTTTAATGACACAGAGTTTCTACAGGGATGACGGAGTTTCAGAGGTGGACAGTGGTGAGGGTCACACAGCACCAGGAACGTATTGTATGTCACTGAATTGGACATTTAAAATGGCAGGTGAGGGAAATCCTATGTTTTTAATATATTTTTCCCACAATAAAAATATTTTTAAAATATTTTTCCCATATATAATTTCTTTCATAATGAGAAACTATACCAATTAGACACATATTATTACCAGCCTACACCTTCTTCTAAAATGTTCATTTCTGCTGGAATAAAATAAACACAGCTGAATGACAAAGATTTTTGAAAGATTAATAAAACTAGACTGACAAGGGTAAGGCATTAGAGATACTGTCATTAATGACGGTCATTATGTAGGACAGTCATTTGACTATTTCAACACTAAGAAATTGCAACAACGTATCCCTCTGAAATAATGACAGGAGCACAAAGATGAACACTGCTGCCCGTTTCTAACGGTAGAACATGGACACAATCCAAATACACATCAGCAGTGGCCTAATATCAGCATCTCTAGGCTGGTGTTTTGGACATATGAGAGTTCTGAGCATAATGGAGTCACGGGTGAAAAATACGCTTTAAACCCAGCTTCCAAGACACAGCAGCCCTGCGTTTTCTATAGATCAACGAAGGACAACTTTTAACCTGAACTCCACACACAGGGCCGATGGAATGCACCCTTGGGTTTCCCTGGCTCCTCTTCCAGGGTCATCCGTGGTGCCATGGGGAAGACAGGAGGCCCTGGAGGGGCCTCTGGCTGTCCCACAAGCACTGACCCTGCCTTCAAAGGCCCCCAGCTCTTGCCGTTATCCATCCTATGCCAGGTCCAGGACTCTCTCCGAAGCCAGCTAAAGGCCTCATTCCCCATGTTTCCAACTGACTCTGATTCTTTAAGAAAACCTCCTCTCCCACATCTTTGCAAATGGTCTGAGCTTTCCAACCAGCTTGGGTGCTTGAAATTATAAGCCAGGACAACTGACAGGTGACATTTCTTAGACCCTGATGTGTGTGTCTTGGAGCAATCTAGTAAGATAGCTCTGATGAACAGGAGGGGAGGTGTGAAATGTGAAAACAAAATTAAAACTCAATTTCATCCATTCTCTCATGGAAATGTATAAGAAATGACAGAAGCAAGTTGCTGGACAACCACAATAATCCTGTTCCCACTTAAATACCATTTAAACAGTGACACATGTGCACTAAAGTACCTGGAAAAGCATAAAATAAACCCTGAATCATGGTTAGACCTCAGGACAGATTGGAGAGGGCTTCCCTTGCCTAAGTAACTGGAATTGACAAGTGTGGAAAATCTTTGGCTATTTTGCCATCACATGTATTAGATCTGTAAATGGAATGTGGGTGTAGGAAAACGGAGGCAGCAGTCTAAAATATCAGGTTTCAGGGGTGTTTTGATGCCCACGATGCGTGGCTCTGTGGCCCCTCCTGCCCTGGTCCTTCAGAAAACTCTGAGTGGTGTCTGGGCTGTGGCCCCTGTCATGCCAGGAACCAGCGGGTGGACAGATGATTCTCAGAGCTGAGAGGGTCCTCTCATTTGGCCTTCACTGGCCACACCAGCCTGCAGTGATCTCCAGCCACCCCCACACACTCACTGTGACCCTGTCAATACCGTTCATGCACCAAATAACCATGAGCTTTCTGGGGCCCACTGTGTTTTCCTAACAAGGCCTGGCCTTGCCAAGCAGCTTTTGAGCTCCTGGGGAGCACAACTTGTCGGCTGCAAGTCTTCAGACGCTGTGCACAGTGGAAAAGTTTCCAATATCACATCCACCACTGCACAGGAAGTGAAGCCCGTGAGAAATAAACTCAAAAGAAATGCACCAGACGCACACACAAATTATATATCTCAAGCTTGCTTTATACAATGTGCTTGGTACTAGTGTCAACATTTGGCCTGTGTTGGTAACCATCCTCAAAACAGCCCCACCAGGGAATTTAACTCCACCATCACCCCATCTTTCTGAAGAGGGCTATGAAGGAAGAGGGGTTAATAAGCCTCCCAAAGTCACAGGGCCCAAAAGGTTAAAGCCAAGACTTCAATCTGGGCGGTCTGGGCTGCTGTCTGTGTTCTTAATACCGAGCAACACATGCCACTCAAGGCCGCCACCCCTTGTTGTTCCCAGGAAAACTACAGATGAGAACAGAGAGCTGCAAATGGCAAGGGCACCACATTTGTTCAACAAGGTAAGATATTGGGAATATGTCCATTCTTCCCAAGCCGGAAGATTGCAACAATGCAATCCTATTTAAAATTCATGTAAGACTTTTTGAGGAAGTTGGGATAATAATTCAAAAGTTTATCTGGAACATTAAGTGAAAAAAGCCTTGAAGTTTTGGGGAAAAAAAGAAAAACGGAGCACTGTCACTCCAAGTAGTAGATCCCACGTATTATAAATGAGTAACATCCGTGTGCAGCAACCCTGTTAAGGCAGACAAGCCAAGAAGGAAGCCCACCCAACCCGGGGCTCAGAAATGGGGATCAAGGAACCTCACACAGAGCAGCACACAGAGAAGGTAGAATTTACTTCCAAAAACTGACACTGGGGCAGGCAGCAGTGGGGAGGAGGGAGGAGGATGAATGGACACACAAGATTCCAGTGGGTGGAAACAGAGCGACGCACCTGCTTCTGACATTGAGAGGCCTCGCTGGGCACTTGGAAAGCTGTAAGGGGGATACTATGAAAAGAAAGGCACCACAGGTTTAACTCCATAAACATATGTGAGGTGAAGAGGCAAATGTGCACCTGGGAAGGTGGTTTCTGAGACAGGCTCGCAGTCTTCGGGAAGCAAACTCAAATACAGCATACACGGGTGAGCTTCCATGAGCATGAAGACCTGCCAGGTGATGACGCCTGGTGTCAATGGCAAACCTTCAAACTCTCATGGCCTTTCACAGAGATCAATATTGGCCAAGCAGAGACAAATTGGTACAACAGGCACTGGCAGTTCTGTACTGAAAATGAAACCGTTCTGTGGAATGCTATTTGCTTGTCTTTTTAAAAATCCTCGTTCTCTTCTAGGCAGTTAGGGAACAACTGATGACCATTTGAAATGGAAAGACCATTAAAATTTTTCTAATTTAGTCAAATATTAGACACAGCAAACTAACACCTATACATCTAAGGTATTCAGAATAACAAGGAAAGTTACATCAATGAACCTACCATACCAGCCCTACCCTCAAAGACTCCTGGACACAACTCCCTGGCCATCTTCTTCCCCACCCAGGCTAACCAGTGTCATGCATTTTCAACTAATTAGTCCCTTGATTTTTATTATGGTTGTATCATATATGTAACCATAATCAATATATTGCTTATTTTCCAGGTTTTTAAACTTTATCTAAATCCAATCCTATTATATGTCTCCCTGTATGACTTGCTTTTTATTCTCTATGGGATGTTTCTAAGATATACCCTTTCTGATGTATGAAGCTGCAGTTCATTTTCCACTGCTGTGTAATATTCAGTTACATTATAAATACAACACAATTTATACATTCTCTAGTCAATGAACATTTATATGTGTTTCCAAATTTTAGTATTACAGATACTGCGTCCGTGAACATTTTGAACACATTTCTTGGTCACTTGTATAAGAGTTTCTCCTAGGGGCTGAAGGGAGGCGAGAGGGATGGAGAAATGTCAAAGGGTAATACAAATTTTCACTTATAGATGAACAGGTTCTGGGGTTCTATTGTACAACATGGTGACTATAGTTAATAATACTGTATTGCGCACATAAAATGTGCTGAGAATAGATCTCGAATTTTCTCACTACACAAAAAACTGGTAACTTTAAAAATGCCACATTATGCACCTTAAAAAAATTTCTCTTAGGCAGTGTGGACAACCTTTTCCTGGGAGCCACTGACACTCTTTCAGGGGTTCAAGACGTCAAAACTACTTTCATTATAATGATGAGGGTTGCCTAACAGTGCACACATAGGGGAGAGCTAGCTGCTTGCTGGTGTCTCCAAAGAAGTCAACACAGCCAGCACCAGTGGCACAAGTCCTCATGGCACCTTCCACAGCAAACACTTGCAGTTTAAAAAGAGTCTGTTTCACTAAAGAACATCCTTGATGAGGCATCAACCAAGATCAGTTTTATTAAATCTCAGCTCTTTTCAGCCATCTGAGTGACTGACCAAATGGAAAGTCCCATAAAGCGCTTCTGCTGCAAAGGAAACGACTGTCTTAAACGGAAGCACTCAATTTCACTGTGACAGCGTCAGCTCCACTCGGCACTTTCTTTCTCAATTTCACTGTGACAGCGTCAGCTCCACTCGGCACTTTCTTTCACGCAACTCTGTTTTTATGTGAAAAAAGACTGATGGACAAAACCACAGTCATTGGGATTTGGCAACATGGCAGACATTCTATTTTTAAAAAAGAATCAAAGACACTATAACTTTCAGAAAAACAACTGAAAGTATTTGCTATCAGTGATCAAATTTAAGCTTCCAAGCAAAAATTAGAAATTTAAAAATTTGGGCCAGGCACGGTGGCTCACGCCTGTAATCCCAGCACTTTGGGAAGCTGATGTGGGTGGATCACGACGTCAGGAGTTCAAGACCAGCCTGGCCAACATGGCGAAATCCCGTCTCTGCTAAAAATACAAAAATTAGCCGGGCGTGGTGACAAGTGTCTGTAATCCCAGCTACTCGGGAGGCTGAGGCAGAGAATTGCTTGAACCTGGGAGGCGGAGGTTGCAGTGAGCCAAGAATGCACCACTGCACTCCAGCCTGGGCAATGGAGCGAAACTCCATCTCAAAAAAAAGAAAAAAGAAAAAAAAGAAACATAGAAATTTCGAATATCTGTATTTAACACCATGAGCCAGGAAGCTTTCCAAAACTTTAAAGGCTTTTCTGATGAAATTGGTAGTGATATTAATGAATGAGATTTTTCCATGTTGTATAGGATCTGTCAGCATTTTGAAGACCTGCATAATTCAGTGAACCAATAATTTCCAAATGACCAGTGCATGATGCTATAATCTCATGTATGAGCAAAAGAACCTTCCAAAGCATAAAACAGACCAACAGATTTCAACATAAGGAATGACAAAGTGTTTATCAATATGGCCTAACTCCATATTTGTGTGAGAATGCATTTTCTTCATATACCTGAACCAAAATAACATGTCACATCAAAGATGCAAACATGAGACTCCACATGCTTCTAATATACCAGAAATTAGAGAAGTCTGAAAAAATAACATAAAATAATGCTACTCATCACAAATTTGGTAAGGTGTTTTGTGGACAATAGGTGTTTTTTCATATATACCTGTTTCTTTTATTAATATGAAATATGTTGATTATTTTTATTTTATTTTTATTTTTTTGAGATCATGTATCACACTGTCACCCAGGCTGGAGTACAGTGGCGTGATCTCAGCTCACTGCAGCTTCCATCTCCCTGGCTCAAATGATTCTCCCACCTCAGCCTCCTGAGTAGTTGGGATTATAGACGCCCACCACTACACCCAACTAATTTTTGTATTTTTAGTAGAGACGGGGTTTCACCATGTTGGCCAGGCTGGTCTTGAACTCCTGACCTCAAATGATCCTTGGCCTCCCAAAGGATTATTTTTAAATGAAGCACTAAATAATTTGAAATGTTCTCCATTTTAATTTCGAATGCAATAAACATCAAGAGACATAAACAGAAGCTCTGGGGAATTGTTGGCCCTTAGTAATAGCATCAAGAGGTCCTAAGCTCTGAAAGTTAAAAACCTGGGCTCTAGGATGTACTGGGAAATATGGGGTCACAAGGAGGCACATCCTTTCAGCTCTGCAAAATGGGTCGGATTATTTTACAAGGTGGTTCCATCAATGCAGGCTCCATGAGCTGGGCAGGAGGCCTGCACTCCTCCACACCTGGAGAGAAAATGGAACTAGAAAACTCAACCAAAAAGGAGAGGTCAGTGCCACTGGAGGAGAACCCACTGGGAGAGGGCACTCCCGGGAGGGCAAGGACAAAGTCCAAGTGGAGGAACCAGAGTCAGGATCAGCAGGAGCAAACGGCATGCCCAGAACTCATCCCCTTACTCTTCAAGTTACTTTGCTTCCAAGTGGTTCCAATGAGTCTACCAGGGCCTTGAAATGATTGTTTCTTAACAGTTGTGGGAAAAGGGGGTAAGATAAACATGGATTTGAGACCGCCTTTAGCCACTAAGGTCATTAGTTACTCTCCTCCTTTAAAACTCATCTGATCTAGGAAATGCATGACGCCCCAGGTGAGGACCCGTCTGAATGACGATGCTCTAATGCCTGCAAGGAGCACCTGGACATGTCCCAGCACAGCATGCCACGCAGTACACATCTTCTGAGTTATTAAAAATAGTGAGCATGAACTAGGAAAAGCTTCATGAACGCAATAATTATCAAGGGTACTAAAAGTGTGCTTTCCCTTTTAAAATACATTTATCAGCCAGGTGCAGTGGCTCACGCCTGTAATCCCAGCACTTTGGGAGGCCAAGACGGGCAGATCACCTGAGGTCAGGAGTTCAAGACCCACCTGGCCAACATGGCAAAACCCCATCTCTATTAAAAAATAAAAACAAAAAAATAGCCAGGTGTGGTGGCAGGTGCCTGTAATCCTGGCTACTTGGGAGGCTGAGGCAGGAGAATCACTTGAACTGGGAGGCAGAGTTTGCAGTGAGCCGAGATCACACCACTGCACTCCAGCCAGGGCAACAGAATACATTTATCCAATGTGTGAAAAGACACAGAGTCACTGCACTATTTTTTAAAGTAACAAAATATCAGAAACAAGATAGATATCCTATAATTGAAGTAAATTATGGTATAGGCACACAATGGAATATGATAAATAATGTTTTGGAAAAATGAATATGGAAAGATATTGGCAATACAATGTTAAGTTAAAAAAATAGAATGTAGTATGCATATTCTTATGCTATTTACATGGTCTATGTGAAGAAAATATAAACAAAATAGGAATCCAAATAATCAAAGTGATTACTGCAGGGCAGGAGATACAGGTGAATTTTTCCTTGGCTTCACTCGATCTTTTAATATAAGAAATATTCTAGGGCCGAGCGCGGTGGCTCACGTCTGTAATCCCAGCGCTTTGGGAAGTTGAGGCGGGTGGACCACAAGGTCAGGAAATCGAGACCAGCCTGGCCAATATGGTGAAACCCCATCTCTACTAAAAAAATACAAAAAAATTAGCCGGGCACGGTGGCACATGCCTGTAATCCCAGCTACTCGGGAGGCTGAGGCAGGAGAAATGCTTGAACCCGAGAGGCGGAGGTTGCAGTGAGCCAAGATCGTGCCACTACACTCCAGCCTGGGTGACAGAGCGAGACTCCATCTCAAAAAAAAAAAAAAAAAGAAAAAGAAAAAAAGAAATATTCTACAAATTTTTCTACAAGGAAAGGTGAGAAGTAATGGTCAGATGAACAGGTCAGGTTTAGATTTCGCTCTTACAATTTACTAACTGTGCTGTATTTTATCTTCAAAGATGTTTTCTCACCTGTATACCAAATGTTCCTTCATAAATGGTGCTGCAAGTGACATGACGTGACCCGCAGGAAGCGCTTGGTAAGAGGCATTATTTTATGTATTCTTTGAATAATTAAAAGGTTGAACAAAGGGATATTGAATGATTTTCTCTGGGAAGTGCTCTTTTGTAAATCTGCGTCCCTGTCAAATTGTATCACAATCATCAAATAAAGCAAAATGGGCCATGCTGTATTTCCTCATGATTTTTGGTACCATGTTATCAAGAAGCTGCATCTTGAGATCACAAAATTAACTTCAGCCGGGCATGAGATTGAAAACCCAGCCCCGAGTCACTGTTTTGGACTCTCCCGTTCCAGGTGACTTCACTTGCAGTCCCTGAGTATTGAGCCCCGCGGCACCAAGGCAGGTGCTGCCGGGCAGATAAGGCGTCCTAAAGACCTGGGTCCCCTGGAGAAGCAAGACGGGACACATTGCAGCGATTTGTCCGAGTGTCTCTTTGTGTGTGTGCCTCGCTTTGAAAATGTACTAAAAGCTGCTGGGCCCAGATAAGTATCTTCCACGACTCCCATTTCCTGTTAGCAGAAAATCAACGCTATTTTTACTCATCTGCCACCAAGAGAAAAGCGCCGGTTCCATTAGACCAAAGGGTCACTGTGGGTGCCTGTGTTCTCTGGAGGGCCCGCGTGACCTGCGTCCCAGGACGGCCCCCACAAAAGCCTCTTAGCTCTACTCTCTGCCCGTTCCTGACAGCAGAACATCTGCCGGGTCCCTGAACTGACCTGAGGACAACCGGGGACACTGCAAGGGGGGTGGGAACGAGGACATGTAGGAGAAAGAGGACCTGCCAGAAAAAGAGTGACCCACAATGAGGAAGCTGCAGCGGGGAGGCCCGTCCTGGGGAGCACACGCCCTGGCACGCGCCCACGTGTGGGGTCCTGCCCCGGCAGGCACTGGCCCGACTGTGCCTTCCTCTTCTTTTCTGCTTGAATGTTCGCATCTTCCCGAGTTTCAGCTCCGGAAGCCCAGGGCTCCTCTTGCAGACCCCTCCCTCCTCATCCTCTCTCCTGGATCCGCATTCACTCCTGGGCGGCCCCAGCCAATCCGTGGCTCTAAACACTGTCTACAGCTGGGACTATCCAGCGTGGTGTCTGCCACGAACCCATCCTGAATCCCAGACTCACGCCCAACGGCCTGGTCCGCACCTGTGCCTGAACTAGGAAAGTTCCTCCTTTTCCTGCCGACAAATGGCAACTTGGCTTTCCACAGCACAGGCTGGACCCTTGATGCATCCCTGATCCCATCTACTCCAGGAACCACACGTCCTTTCCACCCACAAATCCCTTCAGCTGTATCTCTAAATACCCAACCTCTCCAGAGCCACGACCTCCAACCACCCCAGCATCCCCTCAAGACGGCGGCAGTCACGCCCACGGGCCCTGCTCCCACCCTGGCGTCCCCTCAAGATGGCGGCAGCCACCCCGACAGGTCCTGCTCCCACCCCGGCGACTCCTCAAGATGGCGGCAGTCACGCCCACGGGCCCTGCTCTCACCCTGGCGTCCCCCCGCCAAGATGGCGGCAGTCACGCCCACGGGCCCTGCTCCCACCCTAACACCAGCCCTGGCTCCCGAGTGGCTTCAGGCCAGGACGCGCCTCTGCTCCAAAGCATGAGGTGTTTGCCCGGTCACTCATGGCGAAAGGCAGTGTCTGACAAGGCTGGCTCCCCACGGCCTGAGCCCTGCTCACTCAGCCCCAGGGGCAGTGAGAAGGGTGGCCTGGGCTGCGCTGGAGCAGCAGGGAGACGTGGGGCCGGGCAGCGCCGCGGCATTTCCACACTGCAACCCCGGCCTGGCTCTGAGAACGCAGCCTCGCCTTCCACGGCGCCTTGAGGAACCCACTGTCACCGCTTACTTCACCTCCTTCCTCTGCACTCAGGCCCCGTGGGGCTCAGGGAGCAGAGCGGAGGAGCCAACGTCTCCCCTGCTGTGACCCCGCCATCACCCAGCAGGCGCCTGGTGTGGTGGGAGAGATGGAGGCCGGGCCTGAGGAAGGAAGGGGAAGGCATGGGACCCTGTCGCCCGCTTCGCCCACTCCTCCTGCACCCGGGGCTGGCCGAGCTCACGTCTTACTTCCTCTTTCTTCCTTCCTCTGCACGGACCTCACGCCCGCAGGCGACACGCATGAGGAGCCAGGGTCGAGGCCAGTGGCATCACAGCACCCAGGAAACAGGGTCCTCCACACAGGGCCGTAGGGGGAGCCTCCACCTATGCCCCAAATCAAAGTGAAAGATCTTCTCTCCCGGCCCAAGTTGTCCCACGGCCTGGGGTTCAGGACGCCCACAGCTGGGCAGCAGATCAGCCCGCACTGGCTGGCACAGGGTCAGTGGAACCATGGCGCACGCGGGCTGGCATGGGGTCGGGGAAGCCATGGCGCACACGCGGTGGGGTCATGACGCACGCGGGCTGGCACGGGGTCGGGGGAGCCATGGCGCACACGCGGGCTGGCATGGGATCAGGGAAGCCATGGCGCACGCGGGCTGGCACGGGGTCGGTGGAACCCATGGCACACGCGGGTTGGCACGGGTTCGGTGGGGCCATGGCCCACACGGGCTGGCACAGGGTTGGGGAGCCATGGCACACATGGGCTGGCACGGGGTCGGGAGCCATGGCACACACGGGCTGGCACAGGGTCGGGGAGCCATGGCACATGCTGGCTGGCACAGGAGGGACCGGGGAGCCGGATCCTCAAAAGTGACGGGTGGGAATGGAGAAGTCTCTTGGCAGAGCCCTTCCCGGAGCCGTGGGCAGGGAGGGCCAGGACAGGATGGCCCGGCCAAGAGCAGACAGCGCCGCGCGTGGAGGTGGTGACCAGGCTGAAGCCAGCGGGGCCTGGGCCGGTTGGTGTGAGACTGGCAGGCACACCGAGGGGCCCGGCAACCTGTGGGTCCAGGATCAGCAACCTGCAGCCACCACAGGCTCCACGGGCCACATCTTACTGGAACACAGCCGCCACCGTCTCTACGCTTCGTGTAAGGGCAGGGCTGAGCCGCGCGGACGTAAGGGGCCTGTCGCAGCAAGTGCAAGGCCAGCGCAACATGAAAATCCTTCCCGCAAAATTACGTCCTGTGTGAGGGAGCCCCTGCTGACAGGACCCCTCTGCTGCCAGGACCCCTGCCCCCGTCCCCAGGGCCCAAACCACCTGGCGCCCAGCCCCTGACAGGAACGAGAGTGGACCCCGGGAGATTCCTGGTAGAGAGTGTGGGGCAGCCCTGCAGATGCAGCTCCCCGGGCTCCTGGGTTGTTCTTACAGTAAGAACAACTGTAAAGCATGACTCGGCTGCTGTGTTCAATTGAAAGACAGTCTTCCTGGCAGATGCGGGCGCACCCGGAGCCAGGGATGCCATCCCAGAGGGAACTAGAAAGTCTCTCTTGGGAGGCGCCTTCCTGGGAGCCTGAAGCCGTTCCAGCCGCAGGTGCAGCCGAGTGCAGCCACCGGTGTCCAGCAGGTGGTGCTGCTACCCGACGTCCCAGAGCCCTCGCCCGGTGCGCAACCCCGGCAGCAGGACAGGGCGGCCGGTGGCTTTTCCTCCTGCTTTATGCACAGACTGTGCTACGAAGGCTGCTGGCAGCCACCGTCAGGGACGGGGGAGCTGCTGTGCTATTGCTGTTTCTATCTGTGTGTAATGGCAGTTCTTTTGTAATGAGAAGGGCTCTGCAGTCCACAGAGTTCATAGAGAATTCTCAAGACCACTATGGCACTCAGTCCTGACACTCAGAGTGATAACATGGGCTTTGCGGTGGCAGCCACCTAGACAGGTATTACCTGTCTGCTGTTACCATGCAAAATTTCAATCTAGAAATAAAAACAGAAAGAACCCCTATCTAGTCACTCTGTCATGCACACTGTGTGACAAGTAAAAACTAAGGAACGGGCCGGGCGCGGTGGCTCACGCCTGTAATCCCAGCACTTTGGGAGGCCAAGGCGGGCAGATCACAAGGTCAGGAGATCGAGACCATCCTGGCTAATATGGTGAAACCCCGTCTCTACAAAAACTACAAAAAATTAGCCGGGCGTGGTGGCGGGCGCCTGTAGTCCCAGACACTCGGGAGTCTGAGGCAGAAGAATGGTGTGAACCCGGGAGGCGGAGCTTGCAATGAGCCCAGATCGCACCACTGCACTCCAGCCTGGATGACAGAGTGAGACTGTCAAAAAAAAAAAAAAAACCTAAGAAACAGCACTATTCTCACAGAAGCACCAAGTTACTCAGACAAATGCCAATACACATCCCAGGAGATCAGATGACAATCAATGTGTGACTCCCTGGGGGAGTCAGGGGGTCACGCTAAGGGTTTGCCCAAGCGCAGCTTCCCAGAGCCTTCCTGCAATCACAGGGACACACAAATGGGGGTGCTGAGCACAGGAGGCTGCAGCCCTGGAAGGCAAGTTTACGCCTATTCAGGAGCAAAGGAGTTCAACCCCCCAGAGACCATGCAGCAAAGTGGGGCACAGTCATCAACTAACTTCTTAAAAGGGCACAGGAGAAGATCAGTCTCGTTACTTTCCAGGAACTTCCCATGTCTTCAAGGAAACATGGGAACTTCAACACACATATTTCAGACAAAACAACATTAATGTAGGCAAAGAGACACACGCAGAGAGAGAGGGGGAAATGGACAGCGAGGGAGCGAGAGAGGGAGGAGAGGGAGAGAGTGAGAGAGAGAGCAAAAGCAAGAAAAGGAATTAACTTGGAGAAAATTAGAAAATGTTCCCTGTAAATGTTCCCAATAAAGATGCTGCTAAAGAAATGACTCAATGTTCATTCCTTAAACTTATAAACCACAAGTAATGCTCAATAGGCTTTTTGGGGGAACAAACTCTTACACAAATGCACGTTAAGTGGTGGCGTTTTTAGCTGTTCTCCGGGCTGAGTAAGAAGAGACAAAGATGGGGCAGGGAGGGAAATGGTGACCTCAGCTTGTCCGGGGCTCAGCCTCATTCTTCGTGAGTTTAGTATTTCTAGCTGCTAGTAAACTAGGAAAATTTAAAGTCTAACAATAAACACAGAAATGCTACACCTGTATTCAAGGTCAAACAACATGTCAGTTTCAAAAGGGGTCTAGAAACTCACTCTTTCTCCATAGGCCAATGACCTGATTCTGAGAATTGTTTCTGGTGACAGGCCAAGGAGAGATGCATAGATCCACTCCCAGGAGGGAGGACATAGACAGGAGTGCAGGGAAGGGGACCAGAAGCAGCCATCAGCTGCTGGTGCCTTGGATTTAAAACACTGCTCACACTTTTTATAAACCAGTCAGATAATGGAAAAATAAAAACAAAAGTCATGGTTCTTAGGGGTGTTTTGTGCACTGAATCCTCATTCTCCCCAATACAGGTTTCTGTCAAAGAATTCCCAAACTGAACAGAACAGAAATTGGGGTGGAAAGAACTTTGCTCTTGAATTAGTCACATCTAACACATAGATTGTGTTAAACACCCAGAAGTGACCAACTATCACTCCACAGATCACTAGGAAAATCAGTTACCACCCACCAGATCACCCACATGGATCAGTTATCACCCACCAGATCACCTGCAGGGTTTGGCTGCCACTGACTGGATCACCTGCACAAAGTCGTTACCAACCACTGGATCACCCGCAGGGATCATTACCACCCACTGGATCACCCATATCGACTGGTTACCACCCCCTGGATCACCCACATGGATCAGTTACCACCCACCAGATCACCTGCAGGGATTGGCTGCCACTGACTGGATCACCTGCACAAAGTCGTTACCAACCACTGGATCACCCGCAGGGATCATTACCACCCACTGGATCACCCATATTGACTGGTTACCACCCCCTGGATCACCCACATGGATCAGCTACCACCCACTGAGTCACCTGCAGGGATGTTACCACCCACTGGGTCAGCCACAGGGATCGACTGCCACCCACTGGATCACCCACATGGACTGGTTACCACCCAATGGATCACCCACAGGGACTGGTTACCACCCACTGGATCACCTACAGGGATCAGTTGTCACCCACTGGGTCATCCACAGGGATCAATTACCACCTGCTGGATCACCCACAGGGATTGGTTACCACTCACTGGATCACTCACAGGGATTAGTTATCACCCACTGGATCACCCACATGGACTGGTTACCATATCCACTGGATCACCCACATGGGCTGGTTACAATCCACTGGATCACCCACAAGGATCAATTACCACCCACTGGATCACCCACAGGGACTGGTTACCACCCAGTGAATCACTCACAGGGACGGGTTACCGCCCACTGGATCACCCCACAGGGATCAGTTACCACCTAACAGATCAGCAGCAAAATATTTTCTGAGCAACAGTCATACTGCCTTCCTCATTTGGGCAAATTATACAATATAGTTAGATACCAAATGGTCTCTACGCCAAAACAAGTCACAGATTTGTGAAAACAAAGCTGTGTTATGTTTGTAATCTCAAAATTAATCATCTGCAGGGAGATCTTGATGTCTTCACTATTGATCTTCAACACTGACAGATTCAAATCTTATCTATGAGAGATTAAGGTTGACTTCCTGGAATTCTGGATGAGAAATTTAAGCACACACTGTTCAGATACCTTCATTAACTTTTGACAATTTTCAATCTAATCCATAATGTTTCACTAAATAGTGCGTTAGATCAAAATTTACTACCAGCTCCTCCACATGATCGTGTACAGAGCGGTTCTCGCTGTGCTTGTGGCGGGATGGCCACATCACGACGTCTACATGCCAGATCCTCCACATGATCTTGTACACAGTGGTTCTTGCCGTGCTTGTGGCGGGATGGCCACATCACGACGTCCACATGCCAGCTCCTCCACATGATCGTGTACAGAGCGGTTCTCGCTGTGCTTGTGGCGGGATGGCCACATCACGACGTCCACACGCCACCTCCTCCACATGATCTTGTACACAGCGGTTCTTGCTGTGCTTGTGGCGGGATGGCCGCGTCATGACGTCCACACACCGGAGCTCTACTTTCCCACAGAGCAGCCACCAGACACGCGGGTGCCGCACATATGAAACGTGGCCAGTCAAAACCAAAGTGTCCGGTGCATAAAAATACACACTGGATTTCAAGGACTTCACATTAAAAAATGTAAAATCTCGCCGTATGATTTTTTTTTCCCACTGATGACACGCTGTGCAGAAAGGCAAGCAGCAAGCCTGAGAATGCGATCCCTAGAAAGGCTGCCTGGAAAAGTGGCCATCCTGTGTCTGAGCACTCAACTGGTAAACATTTCTCTACCCTGTGGTCTGGTATAAAATAGCCCCTAAAATTGTAAGAGTTCCTCACTGTGCGCACACCCTCTGTATAAACAATGTGATGCCAGCTGAGCACCTGATTTTCTTCTGAAAGTCAGGAATTCGGATTGTGGTCAGTCACGCAAGCTCAATATGCCCATGTGGCCAACCCACAATCCAACCCCGAACTCCCAGGCTCCGATGAGCAGCGCTGATAGATGGTGTTCCGCACACCCTTGCAACGCATCACTGGAGAGGCAAACATGCCCGTGTGGCTCTCCTGGGAGGGAGTTTTGGGAGCCTGCACTGTCTTCCTCCAGACTCCAACCTGTGCACCTTTTCCCTTTGCTGGCTTAGCTCTATGTCTTTTCACTGTAATGAATTCTACCTGTGAGTAAAACCTCATGCTGAGCCCTGTGAATCCTAGCAAATCACCAAGTCTGTAGTTGGTCTTAAGGACCCCAGTGAAGTTGGTGTCAGAAGTGGGGTTGGCTAACATGACTCTGCCTCACTGAAATACGATGAAAGCTTTCTTTGGGAAAATGAAGGATGAAGAGGTGAAGATGAGATGTTAGCTCCTGAGTCTTCCACAGCATGAAATGCAGCTGAGCTGCCAAATGCCGTGAAAGGTAAAAGTCATCTATGGAGTTTAGAAATGATAGTCCAAGCCCAGGAGAGCTGGGATGCTGGACCTGGAGATGGATTTTGGCTGTTCTGGATGATGTGAGTGGGAAAAGTACATCCCAGGTGGGGACTCTGGTTTTCTGTTCTCTCCTCCAGGTGGGAGGAGAAAGACCCCAACATTTCTAAGGTGAGTGCTGAGTGTGCCAGAAACACTACAAGTGTGTGTTGCTCCCTCCCTGAAGTGGGAAGAATAAATGTGAGGTCAGGTTACACAGGCGGCAGCAGAGCTTTAGATAAACAGAAATGCTCAGGGCTGGGCCCATTGGCTCCTGCCTGTAATCCCAGCACTTTGGAAGGCTGAAATAGGAGGATCACTTAAGCCCAGGATTTCAGGACCATCCTGAGCAAACAGTGCAAGACCCCATCTCTACAAATATTAGCTGGACATAGTGGCATGCACCTGTGGTCCCAGTGACTCGAGGCCAGAGGAGGAGAATCACTGAAGCCTAGAATTCGAGACCAGCCTGGACAACAGAGAGCCCATCTCTACAAAAAAAGACCATTTTTTAAAGAGAGACAACAAAAACATTCCCACTGATGATGCATCAGCACCCCCGCTTCCCAGCCAAAACCTCCGGGCACCTGTAATGTCAGCCCTGTAAATGCTGAGTTTAATGCCAGAGGTTTCAGTAAACTTCCAATGAGGAAAAAAAGAAAGGGAGGATTTTCAAAAAAAAAAATGTATTTTGTGGCTACTGAATCAGAATATAGGACCTACACTGATGTAAAATATTATATGCTTGCAATTTCCTAAATGCTAGAGAGCTCATCCCAATCAAAGAAAGCCGCACAAAGAATAATAACATAGAGGGGACACAGCTGCTTAGGACACCATGGCTTTTCGCTGTGGCTGGCAGATTGAAATGCACACTTCCTGAGAATTAGATCTCCAGAACGATGAGAGCTGCTGTTATTTTTTCCAATAGCGCCTGTGGAGAAAGGGGAGCAGGGAGAGAGGCAATCTCCAGATGGAGACACTCTTCCACGGTTTTTAAAGGCACTTTTTAGTTAGTAATGAGCCCTCGTGGCATCTAGAGTCTGACGGGTTTCCAGCCTGATGTGCACATCTCGAGTGAGTAACACAGACCCTTGGCTGACAAAGCAAAAGGGCATGGGGGAGCCTTGCTTGGACCGGGCTTGGGACATGACCCTGGTACATCTCACCTTGCCGCTGCCCAAGAAAAGCCACTGGCTTTTCCCAAAATCCTAGATACACAGATCCTAACTGCCCAAACCTCAGTCTATGCTAAAACCAGACAGCATCTGCTGTGTCTGTCTGGTCACTAGCTGTGCCCAGCTGAGATCAGGTGACCAGTTCCACCCCACAAACAGGACTCAGACGCAGGGACAGCAGCATCCCACGACCCCCCTGAGGGTCCCACACGAAAGCTCCTGGGAAAGGGCCTGTTCTCTGGTGGGGCTGTCTGAAAGCACACTGCTGAGCTCTGTACCGTGCTTCTGGTACAAAGGCTAACTATGTGTGATTCCTGCAAAACCTGTAGATGGGTGGGGGCATCCCTGAACTGTGACCCCGCTGCTCCCCTCTCCTGGCAGGTGGTACCCTACGCCCGCTCTGGGGGACATCTCAGGGCTGGTGACTCCTGGGCTCAGCCTCCCGAGCAGCCTGACTGCCTCCTCCCCTCCTCCCAGAGCAGAGACCTCAGTGAGGTGGGTGGACAACCACCAATAACTCTTCCCAGAAAGGTGGTGATCTTTTCTCATTGGATAATGATCAGAACAAAAGTGGCTGCAGAAAACTATTTTAAATTTTTGTAAAACAAAACCCCAGCATCTGGAGACATGGGAGAAGAGGGAGAGCATCAATGAACTTTGGTTTTCCAAACTGTCCTGAAAACCTTTCCTTCCCCCTTCCCCCGAAAACGTCCCAGGCTGCCCTCCCCAGCTGTTGCCAGAGCCCTGAATTCAAAGTGACCCAGAGCCTCTGACCGCATGTCATGGACACGGATGTGGTCAGCTCCTGCATGTTCCTCACAATACACTCACAGACGATGTCCACACCCACATTTCAGATGAAGAATCCCGGCTAAGCAGGGACGAACCACCCAGGGTGAAATCACAGGGAACTCCTGGGCTTCAGCACCCTTTTCCCTCTCTCTCTCCCTCTCCCTCTCTCTCTCTCTCTCTCTGTCCCTGTGCCTGGCTCTGTCAACCTCACAGGACCACCTCATGTCGCAGGCATTGGTTTTCGTGCCTCTGCCCATCCTGGCCACCTGACCAGCTCAGAATGTCGCCATTATTGTTCTCCCAATTTTAAAGGTGAAATGGAAACTCAGAGAACTTAAGTAAATGTCACAAGAGTCATCAAATACGTAGTAAAACTCAAGCCATAAGCCATGTCTTCAGGCCCCACGCCCCACGCCCCACTGTCTTTCCACAGCTCTGTGGCCTTCGTTCACATTCCAAGCACCCTACTGCACTCCATAGCAGCCAAAGAAGCTTTCCACCTTAAAGACGGAGATCCCGGCTCCTTCTATTCCCGGATTCTCTCATGGGCAGTTGGGGGCCTGGTGTGCGCTCTCAGGAGCCTGTACGTGTTCACCCTGGGAAGGCCTCAGCCATCCCCTCATGGGACCGCAGCCTGGGGCCTCCGAGTGGGCACCCCAGCCCCTGTGTCTGCACCTCCCACTCCCAGGCACCCCAGCCCCTGTGTCTGCACCTCCCACTCCCAGGCACCCCAGCCCCTGTGTCTGCACCTCCCAATCCCAGGCACCCCAGCCCCTGTGTCTGCACCTCCCACTCCCAGGCACCCCAGCCCCCCTGTGTCTGCACCTCCCACTCCCAGGCACCCCAGCCCCTGTGTCTGCACCTCCCACTCCCAGGCACCCCAGCCCCTGTGTGTGCACCTCCCACTCCCAGGCACCCCAGCCCCTGTGTGTGCACCTCCCACTCCCAGGCACCCCAGCCCCTCTGTGTGTGCACCTCCCACTCCCAGGCACCCCAGCCCCTGTGTGTGCACCTCCCACTCCCAGGCACCCCAGCCCCTCTGTGTCTGCACCTCCCACTCCCAGGCACCCCAGCCCCTGTGTGTGCACCTCCCACTCCCAGGCACCCCAGCCCCTGTGTGTGCACCTCCCACTCCCAGGCACCCCAGCCCCTCTGTGTCTGCACCTCCCACTCCCAGGCACCCCAGCCCCCCTGTGTCTGCACCTCCCACTCCCAGGCACCCCAGCCCCTGTGTCTGCACCTCCAACTCCCAGGCACCCCAGCCCCTCTGTGTCTGCACCTCCCACTCCCAGGCACCCCAGCCCCTGTGTCTGCACCTCCCACTCCCAGGCACCCCAGCCCCTCTGTGTCTGCACCTCCCACTCCCAGGCACCCCAGCCCCTGTGTCTGCACCTCCCACTCCCAGGCACCCCAGCCCCTGTGTCTGCACCTCCCACTCCCAGGCACCCCAGCCCCTGTGTCTGCACCTCCCACTCCCAGGCAGGGGCCGTGATCCCGCTTTCTGCAGCCCTGCCGGTGGCTGCTCTGCTGCGTCTCTGGAGGTTGCCTGCAGAGGTTTCTGAACAGAAAGGCTCAGCCTCCTTAGCACAGATGCCCTTCACCTCATACCTTGGTCTCATCCTCACACTCTTCCTCGGGGCTTAAGGCAGAGGCCTGGGAGTTTCTGCCATTTTCTCTCCCATCCTCTGCCCTCTCCTTGGCCTCTGAGGCAATGAGAGCCGAGACCTGGGTTCCCTCTGGCTCCCGTGGCCCCTGTGCTGAGACACACAGGGCTGAAACATTGGCTGGCCGTGCCCACACCACCTCACAGCCAGGCCACAGCCCCCCACAAGCTGAGCTACACAGGGCTGCCATGCCGGCTGGTCACCCCCAGGTCACACTCTGGCTTCTGAGCAGGAGGCCAGTGTGGCCATCCAAGCCTCTTTCTTGCAGTCAGGAATAAGGAACTGCTTCTGCAGGGAGCAGGGGAGGCCCTTGTAGGCTGGGTCTGGCCCAGATCCCTTCCCTACCCCCACCGTGTGCTCCACACAAACCATGCATCCACTACAGCCTGCTCAGGGTCCAGGCCTGGTCTTTCTTCTTCACCTCCGTCCCCTTGAGAACTTGGATCCAACCTCAAGCTCTCTATGGGCAACATAGTGAGACCTTGTCTCTACAAAAAAATTTAAAAATCAGCCAGGCATGGTGGCGCATACCTGTAGTCCTAGCTACCCAGAGACGGAGGAAGGAGGATCGCTTAAGCCTGGGAGTTCTGGGCTGTAGTGAGCCTTCAAAGGGTCTCTCTCTGTCACCATTATACTCCAGCCTGGGCAACAGAGAGAGACCCTGTCTCAATTTAAAGGGAAAACATGCTGAGTCTAACTTGTCATTGAGCTTTGTGGCCTTCCCAGGCTCGTGTGAGATCCGCAGCTCACACTGCACGTTTGATGTCCTAAGTCAGGAAGCGCAGCACCCCTCCTCTTTCACAGTGCACGGCAGGGCCTCAGCAGATATGTGTGGAAGGAATAGTTGTCTGAGACACAAGGCCAGAGGGTCCTGATATGAGAGTAAGAACTGCTGAACTACCCTCAGCTCCACCTTGGATCAGCACTGCAGAAAGGCCGGGATGGACACCTCCTGTCCCCCTACCCCAGGCACCTGTCACCTCCTCACAGAGTCACAAAAAGGCAGGACACTGAACTTGGAGGCGTCCGTAGAGTCGATCCCACTCCTTCACTTTCGGTAAGAGAAAAATGAGGCCTAGACAGGGAACATACACCTTAGGACACAGGGCACAGACGCAGACAACACCAGATTCCCTTGATTGTAGGAGATGGAGGAGAAGACCCTGTCCCATCCAAGCTCCACCTGGCACCCAGCGAGGCAGTTGGGCAAGATAAGGCCCCTGCCTTCCAAGGGTATTCTCTCCAGCATTTCCTCCAGCTCCTCCAGCCCCAAGCAACTCCAGGGACCTGTGTGGAGAAAGATTGCTCTCTCTCTGATAAATGCACCCCACCATCCACAGAGCTGAGGGTCTTTCCACTGTGTTGTTTTTGGCTTTGAAAATCATGCGACATTCTAAAAAATTCCATTAACTGGCATCTCTTTAAAGAAGTCTCTCTCATAGTCATGGGGAAAAATAGGCTTCTTAAAAAAATTTTTTTGGAGAAAGCCAGTGACAATTAGATCCGATTTTAAAACAATAGAGATGATGAAAAACTTAAAACATCACTCTTGTTTTGATCTTAATATGGTGAAATATGGGCATGTTTTTGAATCCATAAGAAACAGCATGCCCATCATGGTGATAATGACTAGAGAGGACTCACAGCTGAGAGATCCTTTCTAAATGATAGCATTTTCCCAGTACAACAGCAAGACAGGCAGCACCTCGTCAGGCGAGCGAGGGAGACTTGAGGAGCGTCCTCAGGAGAAAGTCTTAAGAAGAGTGCCATGGCTGAAGGGCACCACATGTCTGTAGATGTGCGGGGCCTTCACACAGGAGGCCATCATGGCAAGACCTCTGTACACAGAAACAGGTCCCGCCACCAGCTCTGAGGCCTGAGGAAAGTTCACACATAAGCCTAGGCCTTTAGAAAGGGCAGTATTGATTACCCATTGACGTCACGCAGTGCGCTTTGTGAAAATGGTCCACGGTGGTGAAACGATGGACCAGAATCTTCTCCTACACTGCTGGAAACATTCTCCTGGTCAGCACTTTTATTCAAAAGTCATGAAAAAGTTGACTAAATGCTCTCATCCAACTTCCCGGGCATCTGCAGAGCATTCCCTTAAACAGCAGCTCCCTGCCACCTCCATGCTGTACCCTAAGTGCCCAACAGCAACTAAAAAACCAAAACAAAAAGAGAGGACCTTGCACTCAGCTTGCAACCAGGCTCCAGCTTCCAACTAGGCTCCAGCTCAGACTCCTGCACCGAGTTCCATGTTTCAGGGCCTGGTGTGCCTCAGTCGTGTTCTGTCATCCGTCATGTCTAAGTGTGTTTCCTTCACAAGATCTCTACACCCCAGCAGCCCAGGAGCCATGCGTCCTGCTCTAGTTTCAGAGCTTCCCTCTGAGAGGGAGAGGCGGCTGGGCTTCCCTTCCTCCCTAGGCATTAAGTTCTTAAAAGAAAGGCCGCCATCTCCCAGGGGAGGCAATGCAATCAGAGGTCCTACTCAACAGCAAACATCCTTCCCGAGTTTTACACATTGGTCGGTTCCTGCACTTTGCTTTTTCCAATGTAGAAGCATGTGTGGCCACCTTCAAATAGAGCCCCCTTGGGTCCCCTTCTCTTTCTTGATGGGAGCAGTCAAGGCTGCTTGCTCTGGCCCTCTAGGCTCTGCTGACCGGGCCACACAGACTCCTACAGAGGCTCACTCTCTTCAGAGACCCTCTTCATAAACCGACTGTGACTCAGCGACACACGGTACACAGTGTTCTGTTCCACTCAGTCAGAACACACCGGCAGCTCAACCCACAACGTGCTCCGCGAGCTAATTTCCAGCAGGTTGGAGACGGGTCCCACTGGGCAGGGTCCTCGGTCATTTTAATGAACTTCCTACTCTGACTCTTAGACTGTTCCCAGTTTCCTAGAAACAATCATTGTTAAATGTCCCCACTCTTATGCAGCTCTCCAAATTTCATTAAGCAAATATGAACAATAATTGATAGACATTTTAATAATAACCACATAAAAAGCACATAAACACTCATACTCCCTGAAAAACAAAAAGCCAACCCAGAGGTTTATGTGGAATTCCACCGAGTATCCAACAAACAGGAACCACTATGCTTTGAGGGAAGCTCTGAAACTAGAGCAGGACGCACGGCTCCTGGGCTGCTGGGGTGTAGAGATCTTGTGAAGGAAACACACTTAGACACGACGGATGACAGAACACGACTGAGGCACACCCGGCCCTGAAACATGGAACTCGGTGCAGGAGTATGCAAATGCGACAGAGCCACACCGTCCAAGAGAAATACAGTGTGAGCACATGTGCCATTTATGGCTTTATTAACTACATTAAAACCATAAGAAACAGGTGAGATTAATTTTAATATAGTTTATTTAATCCAACATATGCAAAATATCACTTCCACATGCAATCCACATAAAAAAATTAATAAGCTACTTCACATGTGTTTTCATACCAAGTCTTCAAAATCCAGCATGTAAAATGCTTTACATGGACAGACCCTCTGGACTGAGGAGCCGGGCATCCTGGGCTCACGACCGCATGTGGTTGGCAGCTGACACAAGGTTTGTACAGCGAGGACTCCCACACACAGCTTTGGGTCCAAGGCAAAGAGCACATCTCTGAGCCCTTGACCCACACCGGGAAGGAAGAGAGACGCCCCCATGGTGGAGTCGCTCAGAGAAGCTGTTTCCAACACTCCCGAGGGGCAGCCGCCTCAGCGTCCCCTGCGGGAATGGCAGCAGGCTCTCTTCAAGTGTGTGGGGTTTAATGGCCACTTACACAGCTCGCGGTACACGGTTCTGCTGGGCTGAGGTATTGTGCCCTTCCCAGTGCCAACGGAAGCCGAGTAATACACGTTCCTACAAATCACACTCAGAGGGTTTGGAAACGCTGAAGAGACAGAAAGGAGACTATGGGAATGCTGAATGCTCTTTAGACTTTAAAGAGGCAGAGCTGAGGGAAAGCTCTATCTTTGGACAGCAAATCACTCTTTCCTTCTGTTGCTCTTATAGCCGAGAACACCTGTGCGTCTGATCTGTTCTTCTTCAGACAGAATAGCCTTGAACTGAAGAAAAGGTGGGTACTCTGGTTCCCCAAATGTTCCATCTCCCCGAGAGCCGGCACAGGGCTGGGGTCCACCGCCTCCCTGAGCTCATGAGCATGAGCGAGCATGAAGCAGGATGAGTTTCCGCATCTGCACCCAGTGCCCGCTCTGCCTCCACCGTCCCCACCACAAGCCGGGAATAGCCACGTCACACGCCTCCTCGCAGAAGTGAGCACTCGCTTCCTCTCCACCCCCTGGGAGGCGCAGCTGACTCAGAGCCACCCCAAGTAGGGATGGGCAGAAACCAAGGCAAGAATCGAAGAGGTGGCCTGTTTCAAGCAGGTCCCACTCAATGGAGCTGGAAATAGATCGACTCCGACAGGCTGCCGTTCCCACTAAGTGGGATGAAAACAAAGAGCCAGGTGTCTCCACAGCAGTCTCTGCCCTCACCCTCCCCTCGTGCCCACGGCCAGGTGTCTCCACAGCAGGCTCTGCCCTCACCCTCCCCTCGTGCCCACGGCCAGGTGTCTCCACAGCAGGCTCTGCCCTCACCCTCCCCTCGTGCCCACGGCCAGGTGTCTCCACAGCAGGCTCTGCCCTCACCCTCCCCTCGTGCCCACGGCCAGGTGTCTCCACAGCAGGCTCTGCCCTCACCCTCCCCTCGTGCCCACGGCCAGGTGTCTCCACAGCAGGCTCTGCCCTCACCCTCCCCTCGTGCCCACGGCCAGGTGTCTCCACAGCAGGCTCTGCCCTCACCCTCCCCTCGTGCCCACGGCCAGGTGTCTCCACAGCAGGCTCTGCCCTCACCCTCCCCTCGTGCCCACGGCCAGGTGTCTCCACAGCAGGCTCTGCCCTCACCCTCCCCTCGTGCCCACGGCCAGGTGTCTCCACAGCAGGCTCTGCCCTCACCCTCCCCTCGTGCCCACGGCCAGGTGTCTCCATAGCAGGCTCTGCCCTCACCCTCCCCTCGTGCCCACGGCCAGGTGTCCACAGCAGGCTCTGCCCTCACCCTCCCCTCGTGCCCACGGCCAGGTGTCTCCACAGCAGGCTCTGCCCTCACCCTCCCCTCGTGCCCACGGCCAGGTGTCTCCACAGCAGGCTCTGCCCTCACCCTCCCCTTGTGCCCACGGCCAGGTGTCCACAGCAGGCTCTGCCCTCACCCTCCCCTCGTGCCCACAGCCAGGTGTCTCCACAGCAGGCTCTGCCCTCACCCTCCCCTCGTGCCCACGGCCAGATGTCTCCACAGCAGGCTCTGCCCTCACCCTCCCCTCATGCCCACGGCCAGGTGTCTCCACAGCAGGCTCTGCCCTCACCCTTGTGCCCACAGCCAGGTGTCTCCACAGCAGGCTCTGCCCTCACCCTCCCCTCGTGCCCACAGCCAGATGTCCACTGCAGGCTCTGCCCTCACCCTCGTGCCCACAGCCAGGTATCTGCACAGCAGGCTCTGCCCTCACCCTCCCCTCATGCCCACAGCCAGGTGTCCACAGCAGACTCTGCCCTCACCCCCGGGACCATGGCCAGGGCCGTCATTTGTTCCAGGACAGAGGGCTCCCTAACCCACAGAATGATCAGGGGTCAAGGAAGCAGCAGATGTGGCAAAGAGGGTCTGACCCTAGAGAGGCCTGAATTCCCGTCACAACCCGACCACCCATAAGCCAAAGCTTCCTTCTCTGAAGGGAACAGACAGCAGCTGCCACTGTGCAGGGTTCTGCAGGAACGGACGGGGACAGGATCGGAAGGTATGCTTATAGACGAGTCCATAGGAACTCCAGAAAATATCACTTCCTTCCCACATATTCTTGCAGGAAAGAAGAAAAAACCCTAACCATATATTTCCAATATTGTTTATCTTTGCCCAAAACAGTCTAAGAAGCTACAGAAAGATCGAGGGGAAAGGGGGAAGTTATGTTTTCAATCAGGAATGTGAAATGCTGACTGATCTTTTTCAAACTGTTGGTTATCAACATTTCTTCATCTTAAGAAATTTTTTTTTTAATTTTTCATTTTGAAATAATTTCAGACATATAGAAAAGTTACAAAAGCAGTACAGGGAATTCCTACATACTCTTTACCCTGATTTCCCAAACCCTGACATTTTATGTTCACGATTCTTTCTCTGTCTTTCATGTAATTTTTTTCAGAGCCACATGAGACTACATTGCAGGCATAATAGCCCTTCACATAATAAATGATTCATTATGTGCTTACTAAAACCAATGGCATTTTCATAATAATCACAATATGATGATCAAAATCTTGAAATACTAGTACTTCACTGACAAACCTTATTCACATTTTGCCAATTGTTCCACTCTTGTGTTTTATAGGAAATGAAAAAACAAAACTCAGCACAAAACCACACGTTGCACTTGTGACATCTCTAGTTTTATTTAACCTGGAACCATTTATCAGTCTTTCTCATCTCTAGTGAGAATTTTTCCCTTTACAAATCATAAGAAGAAAAGAACCGGATCATGAGAGTCCCTCCTATGAATTATTCACAGTGTGTGAAAATCCAAAGGTTATGAACTTCAGAGAACATTTGTCACCCTTTTCTATTTCAGAACACACGTGGCTGCTGGACTGCATGTGTGTTTATGGACTTTGGTCAGGAAAGTGTCTAGAGGCCAAAGGTGAGAGGGAAAAGGTGAAAAGGAAAAGGTTTGTCGACAAAAACATCAGACACTTGCTCTTCCTCCAAGATCCTAGCCAACTCACAGGAATGCCACGAGGTCTTACAGTACATGTTTGTGCTGCAATATTTCCTAGAAGGGAATATTTCCACTGATAACAGAACATTCCTCAAATAAAAGAAAGATTAACAAATAAAACGTACATGAGGCAAACATTCCTCCGTTTCCTTCCAGCCATGGGGACCAAACATCCCCTCGGTTACTCCTCTTGACAAGACAGAGGCCAAATGAATTCCAGCAAAAGGACTCAAAATTGCGGGTTTTACATACATTATGTTGTTTCATTGAGAGTCCAAAAAATGAAGATCAAGGATGTCATAAGACTCCAAAGATTTTTAAAGAAAAACCAAGTGGGGCCCTTTTTCCTGTGCCAACGCCCACCACTGTGTTTCAGCAGCCCAGTAAGAAGGGCTGGGAGCCAGGGCGTGGCCACCAGGACGACGGGAAGGGCTTTAATCAGAAACTCAGAATGGGCTGGCAAGGGTTCCAGAGAACAAATGAAATTCAAATGGAAGTAAGGAACCAAGCTTCCCGGGAGCCAAATGTCCCAGCTCTCACTGCAGGAAGAACATCATGACAAGTGGCAGTGCCTAAAAATAACGGCCGAGATACCTGGGATTCTTAACAGAAGGGCCAGGAATCCCAGATCCCAGGGTAGCCAGGGAATTTAAGAAGGAATCACAGGCGGCTTTTTCTAGAACATGTTCCTGATGCTTTTTCCAGAGCCAGGAGGCGGGAGAGGCAGAGCGCTCTTGTTCTCACCCTCGCGTGAAACGCCCCTGCCATTGCCTGCTCCCTCAGCGTGGGAGACCCCAGACACCAGGGTGTGGACATAACTGGAAACCACTTCTTCAGAAACACAACTGGCCCGTGTCAGCTGCACACGCTGCTCCTCAGCCCTCAGACACCCGCCTGTCCCAGGACCAAGATCCAGGAGCAAGATTCAGTAGGGCAGTGGCCTCAGTGCCTGGACTTCAGCTGACGGCTTTCTCACACATACCTCCTACCTACACATGCGTTTCTATTCAGCTGCAAAAAAAAAAATCCTCCCTTTTACTGCCCCCACCTCGGGAAATCATTTGACGAAGACAATTCTGTGATTATGTCATCTTCACTGGGGATTTAAGGAAACCCAGAAGAATGGATCTGAGCCCCCAAACCTCTGCCCTTCCCCTGCCTCCCTCCCCACTCATCTCCAGAACAACCCACAGAGTCCTCCCAATTCATGCAGTTCCAGAGGGATTTCCATGAGCAAGGCGCCTCCCTCCCATTACATAATAAACGGGATGTAAATCTGAGTTCCCTGGTTTTCACTGTTCACAGGACAGCCTCTGCACCACGGCCTGGCACACTGGTGTGGCTCCCACAGCTCTGGAAGACAGCGGGAGGAAGTCTCTGCAGTGTGGGGTCTCCATGAGGCTCCCAATCCCCGCACACCTGCACCTGCTCTTGGTGTCTGGCCCACAGCCTGTGTCCCACACCCAACGTGGCGGCAAGCCCAGGACGCACCTGCCCTCTCTGCATCTCCAGGTAGTCTTTGCAGGTTTCCTCCACTAACTAGAATATCTCTGTCTGCCTGGCAATCTATTGTAAAAGACTCAGCATTGAAGTCCCCTCCTCGGACCTTTTCTGCAGAGAACCCTCTCACCCCCTGGCTTCTGATGCAGTGTTGTTACATCATGCTGTGTGTGCCTGGAGTCCCTGGTGTGCACCCCAGCACAGGAACTCTTCGTTCATGTTACTGTCTCTCTGTAGGACACAATAATTTCCCCTAAAGCAGAGACAACATTGCATTTGTCTTTAAACGCTGGTGGCCGGCAGAGCAGGTGGATCGTGCACTGATTCCATGACCACATGATCAACCAAGAGGAGAACAAACTGGATTCCACGTCTTGCCTTTGCTTCCTCCAGGAAGGCAAGGGGCTGCGTAGCCCTGGGTTCTACAGTGAGTCACTCACTTTTCTAAGGTCTGCAAAAAGGAGAGGCCAGGGTCGCCAGGTCTGAGTCAGAATTCTCAGCCTTCAACCCGATGCAAACACATCAGTGTGGCCTGTCTCAGACTGACAGGCACAAGAAAATCATGAATCAGGATGAGCAGGTGCACCAACTCACTCCTCCCAGAGACACAACACAGAAAATTAGAACTGCAATGGCAGGAAGAAAAAAATACACATTTCTGAGGTGAAAAAACAAAGCCAGAGACCAAAGTAATTTCTATAGTGCCCAATACATTTCAATTCCATCCTGCACTAATGTGTCCATTCTTGGTAACTCAAATTAAAGTGGAAATGACTTGTACTATAAATCATGGAAACCAAGATCAATATTTCCTTCTAAGTATAATTAGACTGCAGCCCTCATTGTTGCCGGGAACTCTCAACCAAAGCCAGGCAAACACTGCTTGAGTACCGCGGTGTGGGATGTTTAGAGGGGGAATGGGGTGTGTGTGGGATGTTTAGAGGGGGAATGGTGGGGGGTGTGGGATGTTTACAGGGGGAATGGCGGGGGGTGTGGGATGTTTAGAGGGGGAATGGCGGGGGGTGTGGGATGTTTAGAGGGGGAATGGCGGGGTGTGTGGGATGTTTAGAGGGGGAATGGGGGGGTCTGGGATGTTTAGAGGGGGAATGGCGGGGTTCTGGGATGTTTAGAGGGGGAATGGCGGGGGGGTCTGGGATGTTTAGAGGGGGAATGGCAGGGGTGTGTGGGATGTTTAGAGTGGGAATGGCGGGGAATCGGGATATTTAGAGGGGGAATGGCAGGGGGGTGTGGGATGTTTAGAGGGGGAATGGCGGGGGTTCTGGGATGTTTAGAGGGGGAATGGCAGCGGGGTGTGGGATGTTTAGAGGGGGAATGGCAGGGGTGTGTGGGATGTTTAGAGTGGGAATGGCGGGGAATCGGGATATTTAGAGGGGGAATGGCAGGGGGGTGTGGGATGTTTAGAGGGGGAATGGCGGGGGGTCTGGGATGTTTAGAGGGGGAATGGCAGCGGGGTGTGGGATGTTTAGAGGGGGAATGGCGGGGGGTCTGGGATGTTTAGAGGGGGAATGGCCGGGGGTTCTGGGATGTTTACAGGGGGAATGGCAGGGGGTCTGGGATGTTTAGAGGGGGAATGGTGGGGGGTCTGGGATGTTTAGAGTGGGAATGGCGGGGGGGGTCTTCATCTTTCCAGAGAAACCTTGAGCAGTGTGTTGCAGCCAAAACTGCCTGAAAAGCCGTCCGGCCCACCCTGCCCCTACCCTGGTGTAAGCCCAGACCACCCACTTACGGCCTCAGTGCTCCTGTTTCCTCCTCTGTGAAATCAGGCTTCGCAACAGAAAATCCTCGAGTCCCTTCTAACTCGAAGGCTCTGTGAATCTTCTGGTTCTTCCTGCATCGAGGGCAGCGATTCCCACCTATTTCCTCCACATGTGGACACCTTGCGCCTGACCCGGGGTGCAAGGCAAAGGGCAGAGGAGGACCTGTCCAGTATCACCAAGTTCTTCCCCTGTGCTTTATTTTTTTTTATTCCTCTAAATCAAAAACCTTATGCTGTCTTCTGAGTGCATCCCACCCTTCACAGATGCCTTTGCAAGGTGTCAAGTACCCAGTCCCCGCCAGCATCACCCGTGTTGTCACCACAAGAATCAAACAGGCACCTGAGCACCAAGCTGGGGACCTGTTCCTCATTCCTCTTCCATGAAGCCTGGGATACACTAAGGGCACAGTAAATCCACGTCCAGGACACCTACTGAACACATTCTCGACCTCCGTAAATCCCCGACCAGGACACCTAGTGAACGCAAACTCGACCTCCGTAATCCCTGTCCAGGATGCCTAGTGAACACACACTCAACCTCGGTAAACCGTGTCCAGGACACCTAGTGAACGCAAACTCGACCTCAGGGAATCATGTCCAGGAAAATCTCGTAAATCTGCGTCCATGAGGCCTACTGAATATGAACTCAGCCTCAGTACATCCGTGTCTATGACATGACCAGAAATTCTCCTAGGAGGTGGCTTCAGGCTGGCGCCCTCCCCAGTCACAGGACCTGCCACAAAGACCATGAGACCCTCAGCCCTGGGCAGGGAACTCTGGTCCCGTTCTCCCGGGACCCCATGGCTGGCCGGCATCCCTTCTACTGCACACACGTGCTTCCCTCTGCTCTGCTATGGAATTCAAGTGTGTCCCATGGCATCTGATGGGCCTGGCACTGCTCTGCCCCTTCAGGGGAACTTGTGCATCTGTGTGCTGGTCCTTTGTGGGGTTTTTTTGTTTGTTTTTTGCAATTTAGCTCTCTGAACTCTGCCCTTTTTTTCTCATTATATACTTCTTGAGAAATTTCTAACTATAATCTCCAGGAACGACCAAGAACAGTAATTCCCAACTCTAACCCCATACTCCAAATCTCCTTCCTGCTCCATACATCCCAAGACCTCTGTCCCTCCCTGGTGTGTCTGGCTTGACACGTTTGTATGACAGCCGACAACAACCCCATACCCTACCCCACGGTGCTGGGCCCCACGATTCTCCTGTTAAGAACAGAATTGTTACGATTATGTCTGATCTATGAGGACACTGAGGCTCGGAGGCGTTAAGTGCCCTCTCTGGGTGAGGGACACACGCGGAGGACTTTGAACTTTAAGGACCTCAAAATCAGCCACCTGCTCAAAGCACATTCCTGACGTGAACAATTCCACCCTGAGACCTTTGGTGTGTGCCGCGTATGCTCAGGTAGACCCAAGAGCCTTGGGGACCAGAACGTTTTAAACACACCCCCACAAAGTGCTACAGTCACGGTCATTTTTAGTCATTGAATCAACATGTTCAAGTAAGAAAACAGTCGCCACAGAAGCTTCAAGAAAATCCCCATAGGCTCATCACTGTCCTCCATCAACATGAATCCCCCATAATGGATCATGTTCTATAAACAGCGTTCTTACCTTTGTAGGAGTTTTCCTGAACACTCCCCATCTGACACATCATCACCAGCTTCACCTTCATGTAATTACAATCGATTAGTTTGCTCCGAAGTCTTTTACCATCCCGGCCACTGGGGCCCTCCCACGAGGATCTCTCCCACATCGGCTCCTCCAGGCCTCCAGTCCCCGGCTCTGAGCTCTTTCTCTTTCTCGGCGGGGGGTCCTCTGGCCCCGGCTTTTCCTGGCTTCCCCCCACGCTGTCCCCACCCCCACAGCGCAGAGGCATTTAATCCGGCTCAGGGAACACCTGGAACGCCTACGAGGCTCGCTCCGCTCCTGCCACGCAGTGCTGTGAGCCCCACCAGGATTATTACACAACTGCAGCCGTCCTTGCCGGAGGAGGGCAGCTCCGCTGTGTGACGGCTCCTGTGGGTGCGGCCAGCTCTGTGTGCCAGCACCCTCATCCTTCCTCCTGGCTCACTCAGTTTAGCTCCACATGGCTCAGCTGCTGCCAGCCCCTCGGCGGCCACCCACGGCTGCCGCACACCCCCTTCAGCTCATGCCCTGGCCACGGCCGCCCAGGCGGTTCCAGAGAGCAGCTCCCTGTGCCACCCGGTGAAACCTGCCGCTCTCCTCCCAGCAGGAGCAGAGCCCACTGTGCCCTCCAGGAGCCAGGAGAGCAATGGGCACAGATTCTGCTTGTTTTCAGGGTTCCTGGGATCTGTTTACTCAGGTGCGGTGAGACACAGAGACAGAAATTACCATCGTGGATGGAGCAGTGGAAACACACAGACCCCCGACCTGGAGGCAGGGCCTGCCACAGGGCCAGGGCCACACAGGTGCACTGGGAAGGCCAGGAGGTGTGAGGGGGGTGGCCAACACGGGGAGCCCTCACTGGGATCTGGGAAGGAAGAACGGGAAAGCAGGGCCAGCAGGCTTAGGCCTGGCCAGGCTGAATGGTCCCAGGGCTCTGGGCTGTCAGCAGTCAGGAGCATGAGAGCCCACGGAGGGAGTGGTGGGCGTGGGCTCTGGAAGTCGGCTTCATGTACAGGCACGACCACAGGCGAGCCGCTCACTGTCCCCAGGAACCGGCCAGCCCAGGAAAAGCCATCCCTCCCAAGTCAGCGAGGCCCAGACATGAAAGCGTCAGAACACGGAAAATTGACAGCATGGCTAAGACCTGCTCTGTGCCCCCGAGCGGCCCGGAGCCCAAGTGAGTTACTCACTGAGTAATGGCAGTGTGATGTGTTCATTCTCCATGACATATCCGCTCCTCCTGTGAGCGCAACCCCATTCAGTAGGGCGGGAAAACCCTGAATTAATTAATTAAAATACATTTTATTATGCAACGCCCCTGCCTGCCTTTGAACTGGAACACCACATTTTTTCCTGCCTTCATGCTAGAATGGACACATGGGCTCTTCCTGGGCCTTCAGCTGGCTGAGCAGATCTCAGACTCGTCAGCCTCATAACCACATGAGCCAATTCCTTTTAACAAATCTCCTTCTATTCACACAGATATACATGATGAGATTTATATATATAAGCATGGGGTCTACATATGTGTAAACAAATACACCCACATATATCCAACGACTTCCACTTCTCTGGAGGGCCCTAATACACCTGCAAAGCCCACAGGGTTACTCCGTCCACAATGTGGACATCCAAGCTGTGCTAATACACTCTCTCCGCACCCATCCACAAGGCTGCCCCCCAAGTCATGGATTCCTGGACCACCACAAATCCAGCCCTGTCCAGCCTCCACACAGAACACCATCCTTCCGTGAGGTAACTTCAGCCCAGAGACAACCATTCACATTTCATATATGTATATGAAACAAGCTGAGCTGGGAGGATCGCTTAAGCCCTAGAATTCAAGACCAGCCTCGGCAACATAAGGAGACACCCCCTCTACAAAAAAAACATTATAATTAAAAAATAAAAATTAGCTGAGCAAGGTGGTGTGCACCTGTCGTCCCAGCTACTTTGGAGATTGAGATGGGAGGATAGCTTGAGCCCAGAAGGCCACTGCACACCAGCTTGAGTGACAAAATAAGATTTCTTCTCTAAAAGCAATCATACCCAAAACACTCCAAGTGGCCATCACCCACGCGCACCTACACTTTCACCATTATCAACATAATTATCAATACACTTTAACCATTATCAACATAATTATCAATACATCTTCACCATTATCAACTATCAATACACCAATAGCAAGCAATCACCCACACGTGCCTACACTTTCACCATTATCAACATAATTATCAATATATTAATAGCAAGCAGGCCTTCACAACGTCTGGATTTAGTAAGAATAACCTGGATTGGCCAGGCGCGGTGGCTCATGCTGGCAATCCCAGCACTTTGGGAGGCCAAGGCAGGTGGATCACCTGAGATCGGGAGTTTAAGAACAGCCTAACCAACACAGAGAAACCCCATGTATCTACTAAAAATACAAAAAAATAGCCAGGCATGGTGGTGCATGCCTGTAATCCCAGCTACTCAGGAGGCTGAGGCAGGAAAATCCCTTGAATCCAGGAGGTGGAGGTTGCAGTGACCAGAGATCGCGCCATTGCACTCCAGCCTGGGCAACGAGCAAAACTCCGTCTCAAAAAGAAAGAAAGAAAAAAAAAAAAGAATAACCGGGATAAGCATGCAGTGCCAGCTTCCCGAAGTTTCTGAAATGTGCCTCTGTAAATTCACGTCCTGCACCTCGGCAAGGCCAGCACTAAACTTCACCGGGCTTACAGTCCTGCCCTAACAGTCACCACACAACAGGACCCCACAACATTGTCCCTCCCCATCCACCCCACCCAACGTCCAAGCCCAGGGCTCCGAGAGGATCTGGCCCCAACATCTGCTAACCTGCTGTCGGTACTGCCCTCTCGCCTCCAAAAACGTGAGCCGGAGGACAGAGATGGCCTCACTGTCTTCTACCCACATCACCTAGGAAGGGCCAGTATCTCTGGGATTGACTGAATTAACGTCACCTCCTTCAAGACATAATCAGCAGTGGCTGTGAGGGACGTAGCTGGTGTTGCTCCCAAGTGGAGACCCTAAAATGGACTAGAAACTGAAAACCAGAGACATCTTTCCATGAAGCTCCCTCCAAACGTGCACTTCTCATGTTTATAGGCTCCTATCTACAGCCATCAATACGCAATGGATGCTGTCATGTGACATTCATCAGTAACTACGGAATTCAAAGCAATGTTAACAGCATCATTGATTTAACTTAAGAACATTAAGCTGGATCCCTCTCTTCAGAAGATAATTTCTGTTTGAGCTGACCCTGAAATCACTCACAGGCCATTTCTGCCTGCCACACAGCAGCTAAATTACTTGAGTGTGCATCTCATAAACTTTAGACCTTTGGCAGTCTTTGATTGTTTAATTATTTTAAAAGCCAGCGTCTGAGACATTTTCCCTTAATTAGTTACGCTTTCCTCCTACATTATTTCTCCAGGAACAGACCCCTGACATCTGATACAAGCACAGGTTCAATTCAGTTCAAATTAAACGCTTCCACTGACTGTCCCCTATGCACCAAGCTCAGAGGGGTCTCTAAACTGGTAAAATGCAATCCTGATTCCCAAGGAATTCTACGCCATACCCTTAAAAAGATACACTTAAACGTCACCCCCTGTTTCCTTCTTAGCGAATATCCTAACTAGTTATGTCAACTTCAGGAACTGTAGCTTTTTCATTCTGAATGCAGGGTTAAGCATATTGGCATCTCCAGCTCCTGGGCGGAAGGTAATTAAAATGGAGGGTCAGAGCGGCATCAGCACTCACACCCATGCCCTCGTGGGCATCACAATCCATCAAGGCAGTGGCCCCTCAGAGTCTTCCTCCACGCATTCCTAGGGAAAGACACTGTCATGGGACGTGACACAGGAGAGAAAGCTTATCTGCCAAGACTGACACAGACCAGCCGTCTCATTTACAGACATTATGACACAGCCCAGATAACCTGTGGTTTGCTACCTAACACAGGAGAGAAAGCCTGTCCGCCAAGACTGACACAGACCACCCGTCTCATTCACAGACATTATGACACAGCCCGGATAACCTGTGGTTTGCTACCTAGTAACTTGTTCCGTAGTAACTTGCTGCAGTCAGGGAACACCCACCCGGGGTTTGACATAGCTTTTAACATGGTAGCAAAATCAACACACACCCGAGTGTGATACAGAGTAATGCACTCCATGGTAACAAGCATCCATCAGAGCCCAGGGCTTGCAATTCCCAGCCCTGGGCACCTCCCTCTATATTCCAAAACTCCTGGTCTCATTTCCCCTCAAGAAACATTTTATTTTCTTTCATTATTTGTGCATCAGTGCTTAAGATGCCTGCACATTAACCCCAACTCACACCTGAGAGAACAGTGGCCATAAATCAAGTCTCTCCAATTTGATTTATGTGCCACCTGAATACCTGTTTAGCAATGAAACTGCCACTGCTAAATAAGCAAAGCTTTGCTGGAAAGATCAATCACTGTCTTTATCTGACACTTCTGTTTAAAGGGAGGGTATTAAAATACATAGTAAAACTATTTCTATTAGATATGGTTCATGGTTGCAAATAATCAAAGCTTCTCAGAACACAATGCACACTCCCACAAAACCATCCCAGAATAAGGTGCTGCTTAGAAATAATTTTAATTTATTTTAAACCCAACAAACAACAGTTTTCATCAAAGATGAAGTAAGTCATAGTTTTAAAAACCTTTCCCCTTTAGTGCAGAGTCTTCTTTTCAATAAAATGCCTTCCTGGAATTACTTTTAAATTTTGGGGGCAAATATTAAAACTGTCTTCCATCTCGAAATAAGAAATTCGGCATGACTTGAATAACCTCAGGGATTCATTTTCCCTCCGGAGGGGTCCGCTGTCCCTTTACCGCAATTAGCACCTCTCTCTCTCAGAATAAAGTGAGCAGGACTCATCCCATAGAGATACGGTTAATGGGTTAGAGAAGAGAGAAGGCTTCCACTTCCAGCTTAAAGTATTATCTGGCTCACACCCTTACACAGCCTCCACCAACTTCCATGAAAACACCAAAAACTCGGCGCCTCTGAAAACAAGGACAGATCGTCATTTGCTGCAAGAAACAAGGAGCCGTTTCTCCCAGGAAAGTGGCGCCAACTGCGCACACGGCACCTGCCCAGCTGTGCCACACCCGGGCCAGCATGCCACACACCTGTGTCCCACCCAGATATTTGCCGTTTCAGAAATGCAGCCTGCAGCCGGCTCCCACCCATAGGATAAGGCTGACATCACCCCAGAAGCAGCTGTCCAGTTCTTCTGCCCGAACGTCTCGCCGTCCACTGGAAGATGCACGTTCTCAGAGGAGAGCAGAGACCAGCGGTGGGTGAGGACCCTGGCCCGGCTCCCTTGGCTGGCCAAGACCAAGAGCAGAAGAGCCAGGACGTGGCCAGTGGCTCAATGGGAGGCGGCCCGACAGGACTGGCAGTGGGAAGCCTGCTCTGAGCAGCGCAGCCACCTGGGTGGAGGATGGCTGGGTGGCAGTAGCCGTGACAGGTACAGAACAGCATCTGTAACAGCTGCGCTGCCAGCGGAGGAGTTTCCAGGGTCCTCCAGGCAGAAGGGACACGGGACCAGGACAATCCCACAGACTGTCTATGGGAAATGCCAGTGAAAGGGAGGTCTCCTCCCGTTCCGGGATGCATGGGTCATGTGAAAGCACGTGGCCACGTGGCCACAGAAATGCTCATAGACGTGCATCCACACTCAACACTGCAATAGGGAGGTCGGGTCTGTGGACACGTGGACACAGAAATGGCCATAGACGCACATCCCCACTCAACACTGCAACAGGGAGGTCGGGTCTGTGGACACGTGGACACAGAAATGGCCATAGACACGCATCCACACTCAACACTGCAACAGGGAGGACGGGTCTGACCAACATTTAAACCCTGAGCCCAGGAAAGTGTGCGCCACGGAAATCAGGGGAAACAAGTCTAAAGAGCCATCTAGTCTTGGGAAAAAAAGTTATAAAAAAGATTCCTAGGACTATAAACAAAAAAGGAAGAAAAGGGCCTGAGATGAAATCTCGCAGAAGGAGATGGAGATGGTGAGTTAAAGAAGGAAGACAAGGCAAGGATTAAATCTGCATCAAGTTGCGAAGTTACAAAGAGTGAAATGTACACTTAGGTAAACCTGTGATGTGGAAGATGGAGCTGCAGGTGGAAGGTTTCCAAGAGCACCCGGGGAATGAATGATAGGCAGTAACAAAAACGAGGGAAAGTGGGGTGAGGACCAGGATTCAGCTCATCCTGCCAAGTGCTCAGCATGAAGCAAGCACACAGTAAACCCGGCCCTCATCCTCACAGAGTTTTTCGGGCAAAGTGTATCTGAAAATCATTTTTGCAATTATTTTTATTTATTTTTTTTTATATCTTTTGAGACAGGGTTCCGCTCTGTCACCCAGGCTGGTGTGCAGTCCCGCTCTGTCGCCCAGGCTGGGCAGATTGCCCAAGCACGATCATGGTTCACTGCAGCCTCTGCCTCCTGGGCTAAAGCACTCCTTGTACCTCAGCCTCCTGAGTAGCTAGGACTACAGGCGGGCACCACCACACCTGGCTAATTGTTTTTAGTAGAGATGGGGTCTCACCATGTTGCCCAGGCTGGTCTCAAACTCCTGAGCTCAAGCAATCCACTCACCTCTGCCTGCCAAAGTGCTGGGATTACAGGCATCAGCCACTGTGCCTGCTGAATTGTTTTTAGATTTGCTTATTGTTATTATGCACCCAGGATTCACAAAGCAGGCCTGAAACTCTGCTCCGTAGAAAGGGAAGCTTCTACAGTCCTTGAACCTGGGAATGTGGATTTGGGGGCTATTCCCTGATAACAGGGGCTTCCTGTGCCTAAACTGTGCAAACATATGGTTTATACCACACACCTGCTGTCCTGCTGGGAGCCCAGAATTTGGGTAAGTGCCAGGCAGGGGTGCCTCTGTGGGCAGAGCCCAGCACGACCCTGGGCACCATGTCTCTCACAAGCTTCCTGTTGGATGACATGCGTGGTCACAGCCTGATGTGTGTCCCCTCCTGGGACTCTGTGGGGAGCAGCTCTGGAAGCTTCCACCTGGTTTCCCTGGACCTCTCTCCTCCACCTTCTCGCTCTGCTGACCATGCTCCGCGTGCTTTCTCTGTAACAAATCATGGCCATCCTGCTGGGCATGAGCTCCAGGAGTCCTCCCAGTGAATCGCTGAGTGGGGGTGCTCCTGGGGACCCCAATGCTAGTTATAGACATGGGGTGGAAGGGAGTTATTAAAACTGCTACCCAGGTTTCAAAGACATTTCCATTTTAAAGGCATTTCTTAGTAAAGGGAAAGATTTCAGTAGTGAGGAAATGGAAGAAAATATTCCAGACACCACAGAGAGCACAGCCACATGGCAGAGCCTTCTGTGTCCTGCAGAGGAAAGAGAGGCGGGTGGTGGCGAGCACGGCCCAGCAGCTCACACCCCATGCAGGCTGGTCTTTCTGACCATCTTCCCTGGTGCAGTTTCCTCCAGGGACTTGCTGCTTCTCGGCCGGACGGATCCCGGGCACACCGGGGCCCCATCCTGTACTGGCGCAGCCTCTCCTATTCTCAGGACCCCAGTGTGAACAGTGGACTCTATTCTCAAGGCCAACCTGATGTTAACTGGGTGGATGGTGGCAGCAAATGAACACTGCCCAGCAGGACTTGCCTTTCCTTGGAGCTCATCAGCAGTGGGGGAGCTCATCAGCAGGGGGGACTCACAGACTCCACCAGCTTCCCTTCCCCACTCACGCTGCCCAAAACCTAGTACTTTAGGCAAACAAGAAAGACTGAGAACATCAGAAAGCACAAGCATCCTGCCCGTCGCGGCCTGATGTCGGCAGCTCTGTCTCAGCTACCCCAGCACCATGAGGGCACCTAGGACAGGACGGCTGTTTTTCCTTCCTACCAGTCCTACCATATTATGTGCACAACTCCTTCCTAATACATTAAACCAGTTTCAATTACAATGTCAAGTCTTTCCATTTCGGGTCAAATAATAATGTATTTTTAGATGCCAAGTACTTTTTACTCTCAAAATAGAGCAAAGCTTTTTGGCCAGACACAGTAGCTGATGCTTATAATCCATGCACTTTGGGAGGCCAAGAAGGGAGGATCACTTGAGCCCAGGAACTTGAGGCTGCAGTGAGTTCTGATCGCACCACTGCACTCCAGCCTGGGCAACACAGTGAGACCCTGTTTCAAAATAAACAAACAACAACAGCAACAAAAAACCCTACAGCACTGAAAGCTCAGTCTTCAGATTTGAATGTTTAAAAAATAATGTTTAGATCTTTCCAATAACTCAAAAAATATGCTTTGATGTCTCCAATAGCTCATAACTATATCAGTTTGTCTTCAATTCAAGCTAGTTTGTCTTACCCGTATATGTCTACGTGCCTCTATGTCTAAAAAGCTATAAAAGAAAAGGATGGAACAACATTATCTTAGTTAAGAACTTAAGTTGAATAACAGGGTGGGTTAACACAATTGTCTTCCCAGAAACAAATCCACAGCAACTCGTATTTTATCCACAAGGTATCACCACAGTCTTGTTCACAAAGACAACAACACAGAAGACTGCGGTGAACACCAAGTACACCTGTTCAGGATCGATGCAGACACAGCGGGGCACAGACACAGCGTGGCACAGACACAGCCGTGCCTGTCTCACTGTCTTTCACTAAGAATCACACTGTACCCAGTCTACACAATCAGAAAACAGTCTAGAACTAAACGTGCATGGTTATAAAAGCCCATCTAAGCGACACAGGTTGTCAGACGACTGGTAAACCCTAATTCTACGAATGGCTTAAAAACAAATTACCAACACTCACCATTTTAAGGGGCCTTGACTGGCTGAAACCAAATAACAGAGGCATATTTTAAAACAGGAGGCTTAAATCTAAAATGTTTTGAATTTCCAGTAAGTGCATGCACAAACACACATTTCCATGCCCCAGTCTCCTGCACACAGACCCACACAGACCAGAAAGAATGCCTTCGGAATTCAGACGAGGTTGAGATTCCAGAGCTGGGGAAGGCACAAAACTTAGGTAAATTCACTTAGATTTTACACCCGTAGCTCCCAAATTGCAGGGCTGAATATCTTCAGCTGCTCACATCATCCACAGCCCTAGACATGCAACCTACCAAATAATTTGTCTCTGCACTCTACAAATTAATCATTACATATCTCAGAAAGTCATGAGGCAGTCTCATTGTCATCCAGCTTGTATTTATTCATTTTGATCAACTTTACCTCACAAAAGAATACTCTGGAGGCCGGGCGCAGTAGCTCACGCCTGTAATCCCAGCACTCTAGGAGGCCGAGGCAGGCGGATCCCGAGGTCAGGAGATTGAGACCATCCTGGCCAACACGGTGAAACCCAATCTCTACTAAAAATACAAAAATCAGCCAGGCGTGGTGGCACACCCCTGTAATCCCAGCTACTCAGGAGGCTGAGGCAGGAGAATGATTTGAACCTGGGAGGTGGAGTTTGCAATGAGCTGAGATCGCACCACTGCACTCCAGCCTGGCAACAGAGCGAGACCCTGTCTCAGCAACAACAAAAGAATATTCTGGAGACGCTGTCCAGTAACAACAATAACAAAAGAGAATCAGTCTGGGTGCAGTAGCTCGCACCTGTAATTCCAGCACTTTGGGAGGCCAAGGCAGGAGCACAGCTTGAGCCCAGGAGTTCGAGAGCAGCCTGGGGATTATAGGGAGACTTCACCTCTATAAAAATTCAAAAATTAGCTGGGTGTGGTGGCGCACACCTGTAGTCTCAGCTACTTGAGGGGCTGAGGTGGAAAGATTGTTTGTGCCTGAGAAGTGGAGGTTCTAGTGAACTGTGGTTGCACCACTGCACTCCAGCCTGGGTGATGGAGTGAGACTGTCAGGAAGAAAGGAAGGAAGGAAGGAAGGAAGGGAGGGAGGGAGGGATGGAGGGAGGGAGGGAACAATACTGATGTCCAAACCTTAGTGGGTAAAATAGGCAAAAGGGGTGACTCAACAGTCGCTTTACTATCCCCGGCCCTTCACTCCTGAAAATGTATGTGCTTCACTGGTGTTTTACTTTGAAGCAGGACAAGCTATGAAAAAGCAGTGGCTCCACAAGCTTCCTGCCTCTCACACCTTCTTCTCTTCCCAGGAAGGGGCAAACCCTAGAGAGGAGGCCCTTCCAGTCCTGAGGAAGGCTATGGCCCAGGCTGTCCCCACAAGAGGCTGAGCCCTGGGTGTGCCCTCCCGGGCATCAGTGCCAGGATCATCTTGGTCTCAACGCAGCTCTCTAGGAGCTCAACTCCAGGCTTCCAGACCAAATTCCCAAACCAAGATGCACGATCCGGCTGCTTGATCAACATTTTCACTTCCACTGCCCAACAAATCAGCCATTTGCCTTGAAATCACAACAAGTGGGTGACTTGGGTGCCCCTCTGCATTGACACTGGAGAAGCCTGGATTGAGTTTCTTTTTTTTAAATTTATTTTCTTTAATTTTTTTTATTATACTTTAAGTTCTAGGGTACATGTGCACAACGTGCAGGTTTGTTACATATGTATACATGTGCCATGTTGGTGTGCTGCACCCATTAACTCATCATTTACATTAGGTATTTCTCCTAATGCTATCCCTCAACAGGCCCCGGTGTGTGATGTTCCCCTTCCTGTGTCCAACTGTTCTCATTGTTCAATTCCCACTTATCAGTGAGAACATGTGGTGTTTGGTTTTTTGTCCTTGCAATAGTTGCTGAGAATGATGGTTTCCAGCTTCATCCACGTCCCTAAAAAGGACAAGAACTCATCATTTTTTATGGCTGCATAGTATTCCATGGTGCATATGTGCCACATTTTCTTAATCCGATGGTTTCATGAGTGACATCAGCATTGGTGTCAACCTTGGGTTTTGTCATCAATTTCATGTATATATGTAGCTTGTCTTACACTGGAAAGACTTTAAGGTAACCTACAAATACGTGGGTGGGAAAACTGGGGTGGATAGGAAAAGAGAGTGCGGAGCGTCTACAGTGAGGAGGACTCATGGTTAACACAGATGGAAACCACGCCCTGGGACAGATGGACGGACGGGTGAACTGACGGACAGACAGAAAAAAGAGAGTGCAGAGAGTCTACAATGAGGAGGACTCATGGTTAACACACACAGAAACCACGCCCTGGGACAGATGGACGGACGGGTGAACTGACGGACGGGCAGAAAAAAGAGAGTGCGGAGAGTGTACAATGAGGAGGACTCATGGTTAACACACACGGAAACCATGCCCTGGGACAGATGGACGGACGGGTGAACTGATGGACGGACACAAAAAAGAGAGTGGGGAGAGTCTACAATGAGGAGGACTCATGGTTAACACACACGGAAACCACGCCCTGGGACAGATGGACAGACGGGTGAACTGACGGACGGACAGAGAGATGAATAGATGGGGAGATTTAACAAATGACCACACATTTGTTTCATTTTCCAAAAGCTAAGGCAAACGCATGACCAGCCGTGTGATTCGGGAATTCCAGGGGAGTGGGTGGCGGCTGTGGCAGGTGCCACCGAGACTCTGACAACAGTCTCATTCCAGCGATGGGTTTCTTTTTTTTTTTTAGAGATGGAGTCTTGCTCTGTCGCCCAGGCTGGAGTGCAGTGGTGCGATCTCGGCTCACTGCAAGCTCCGCCTCCTGGGCTCACACCATTCTCCTGCCTCAGCCTCCCGAGTAGCTAGGACTACAGGTGCCAGCCACCACGCCCAGCTAATTTTTTGTATTTTTAGTAGAGACCGGGTTTCACCGTGTTAGCCAGGACGGTCCCGATCTCCTGACCTTGTGATCCACCCACCTCGGCCTCCCAAAGCGCTGGGATTACAGGCGTGAGCCACCGCGCCCAGCCCAGTGATGGGTTTCACAGATGTTCCCTCCTCCCAAGGGAGGGCAACGCCACAGCACCACAGCACCATCCACACAGATGCAGGCTGAGTTGCAGAAGACGTCTTCAAGACAGGGCTCTCTCTCAATTTAGGAAGAGATTTCAGAGTCTCCCAATGGGAGGCTTTGCCCGAACCATCCTTCTCTAAGGACCTGGCGTAGACCCTCTCACAGGAACCTGTGGCAGTGTGCCCTGTGTCGATAGTTACACACAAAGTTACAGGATGGTGGAGAGTGGGGTTTGGAGAATCAGAAGATGTGACAGAAATCTACCCTCCTGACACCCCCAAGGATGAATCCTCAGACAAAGCCAAAAATCTCCCAAAAAGTAACTGTAGGTCTATTTCCAGCCCCACAGATCTGCACCACACAGAAAGGTCCCAGGAATTTACACTGGTATATCATTAAAACAGGAGTATCACACACCAGGTTTAGTCATGAACCCTCTCAGCACAGAAGCATCCACAGAACATGCAGCCTTGAGCTATTAAACTTCTTTATGTCTCCACATTAAATTGGCTGTAAACCACAAACCTAGATAAATACGTACATTAACCTGCTCTGGGGTTAATAGGGCCACCATCTATAACCGTGCAATCCTTGCTCTGCACAGAAGTGCCCGGCCCAGAACGGATGGGGGCTGACCCTGCTTCATTTAGAGGCTGCATTTTCCCCAGGGGGTCACATTTTTCCACTCAGCACAAAGACAGCATCCATGCTAGAAGCAAGCCTCATGAAATAAAAGACCTGTGGTCCCAACACTATTGATCCACACCCCCTTGTTCTAGCAGGAATTAAATAGCATGACCAATTTTCTAATAAAGGCATTTCCAGATTATGAAATGAAGTCCTTTCAAGCATATGAGGAACGTGGCTTTTTTTCTCTTTAGCTGGGCAGAGAGAGAGAGGATGCAGGAAAAGAGCGCCCCAGCCCATGGAAGGTGGCGCTGGGTCATTAGAGGCGGGTCACGGGGGAGGCTCCGGGGCATCTGCCTTCGCTTCCTCCCTCCAGCTCAGCCCTGACTTTGCTTTTGCTGTTCTCACTGCGTGAATCACATCGTATGGAATTCTGTTCGCACAACTTGAGTGCTTTTTGGAAAGAGAAAAGGCATTATAAATAATTTTAGTATCTGGGTAAAAAGAAATTTACTTGAAGTATTTGATCTTTCAAAGAAATGAGACCTCATATTTAATCTTGTATGTGTAAATACCACTCCCTGGCCTCCTGAAAACAGGTAACCAATCCACACGTGGAGATTTCCCACTTATTGTGGCAGCAAACCCGTCTGAGGTGCCTGCATGTCTCAGTCCCGGGGCTCCGGGGGCCGTGCCCACAGCCTCCCCATCTTTCGGCTCCCACGTCAGGGTTCCCGGTCCACACCGTGCTGTTCTGCCTCATATGAGACCGGAAAGTCACATGTGGATAATTCAGGACTTATTCAGGGTCATATAGTATCACATACTGACTTAGCGCAAACCTGTATCTGAGGCACAGCTGTGGGACAATGAAGTCACAGGTACCTCTGGATCTGTTTTCTCTTCTGCAAAATGCACACACATTTTCTATCTCACAGCAAAGTTACAGGACTAGTCAAGATGAATGTGAAAGCACCTTATAAACTGGAAAGCATTATAAAAAGGCATGTAACATCTACTATTAGTATAAGCATTCAAAGTAACAATGTCATTGTCTACATAGCTTTAGGAATCCTATGCCACAGAGGTGTGACACTAATGGAGTCAAGACTCATTTCAACATATACGCTCACGCCAAACTCTCACTGCCAGCAGCTATCGCAAACTGTTGTCCTTTGAGACAGGCCCGTAGGAGAGAATGCAAACTTGGCCACTGAGTTTCCTTTATTTGTCCATCATGAAATTAAAAGCTCTTTAAAACCTTTAGCTCCCAAGAAATCTAGGGGATTTACAATTATCAAACAGAACCTTTCCTAACATTTCAACAATGGTGTCCCTCTGCCGTTTTGAACTAAACCTCCAAAGTGCTCCAGTGGCTACTCTGTTTCAACAGCTCTACATGCAGAAACATTAATAAAGTATAATTAGGTCTGCCAACCTGTAGGCTTCCAAAATCCTACCTTGTAATACAAATATACTCAACATCCAAATATAAATCACAAAAAAAATTTGCTCAACCTATGTAAATTTTTAAAAATGAAGCACTCTGTTACAAAGGTTACATTTCAATCCAATATTTCATTTTGCCAATGCACAACTAAACAACTCGCCACCCTGCAGAAAGCACACAGCAACTGCAGCTACTGAGGGGAAAGACCACAGGAAAGTTACACAGAGAGGAAGGCGGGCACCACAGTGCGGGGATCCAGCTCCACAGAGAGGAAGGCGGGCACCGTGGTGCGGGGGTCAGCTCCACAGAGAGGAAGATGGACACTGTGGTGTGGGAAGCCGGCTCCACAGAGAGGAACGTGGGCACCATAGCGCAGGGGTCAGCTCCACAGAGAGGAACGTGGGCACCATAGCGCAGGGGTCAGCTCCACAGAGAGGAAGGCGGGCACCACGGTGCGGGGGTCAGCTCCACAGATAGGAAGATGGACACTGTGGTGTGGGGCTCAGCTCCACAGAGAGGAAGGCGGGCACCACGGAGCAGGAGCCGGCTCCAATGAGCTGGAGACAACTGGTGGCTGCCAAGAACTCACAACTCCATGTCCAGGAACTTCATGGCAGCAGCTTGAAACTGGACCACAGAAATTGGCAAACACTAGAACGAGGCCTCCCCACCCACCCTCTCACTCAGCATCGGAAAGTCAGTTGATAAACGCGGACCAGCACATTGCTGCGGGGACCTGATTTCAGAGTCAGGAGTTTCCATTACGTATTTGCAAATAAGCAACCGTCAGTTCCACAAACACAGGGAAGTCACGTGAAACCTTTCCACCCAACTTTTATACATAACCTGTTTCACAGTCATTTTACATTCATTGTCAATTAGAAACATAATGTATCTCAAAAACCAAACATAGTACTCCCGCATGCTTGATCTGTTTGAGGTTTCATTATTCACTTCTTATTATCAAAGTTTGCATGGGTAATTACTGCTGCCATATTGCAAAATCAATTCATTCTTGAAACTTCTAATTATTCGTGGCAGTAGAATGGGCTGTCTCCTGAAAAACTCAGGATAAAGGCTGTGTGAGGCAGCTAAGCCCGAAGTCAGAACCCCGCCAATTGTGCAGCCTAAAGAAAAGAATGTATTATGCTTACAACTGTGTAACTTAATTTTCCCAAATGTCATTGCAATTCTGAAGTGAAGGTCATTAATAATCAAGGGAAGGAAGCCAGATCATCTAGGAACTGAACAGCTCCCAAAGTTTTCCCTGCTTAGATCTCACTGTCAGGGAAATGTGGATTCAATGGAAGGTGGCTTCTGATGTGTTCTCCAGCATCCTTCCAACATACATTATACACATATCCTTCCAACATTCTCCAGCATCCTTCCAACATTCTCCAGCATCCTTCCAACATACATTATACCCACATCCTTCCAACATTCTCCAACATCCTTCCAACATACATTATATACGCATCCTTCCAACATTCTCCAGCATCCTTCCCACATACATTATACATGCATCCTTCCAACATTCTCCAGCATCCTTCCAACATACATTATACACACATCCTTCCAACATATGTTATACATGCATCCTTCCAACATGTTATACACGTCTTTCCAACATATATTACACACACATCCTTCCAACGTTCTCCAGCATCCTTCCAACATTCTCCAGCATCCTTCCAACATACATTATACAACCATCCTTCCAACATTCTCCAGTATGTTTCCAACATACATTATGCATGCATCTTTCCAACATATGTTATACACATATCCTCCCAATGTACGTTATACATGCGTCCTTCCAACATATACACGCATCCTTCCAAGATTCTCCAGCATCCTTCCAACATACATTACACACGCATCCTAAGAAACAGAATCCATAATGGAAAACGCACCGCTTAGGCCATGTCATCTCTTCACCATGGAGCCAAAGTTCTCACCCCTCCAGTTGGGTCAAAAATACTAAAGCAAGTGTAAGAGGTCTCTGTTGCTAGGAGGAACACCTGGCTATAAAACTTTAGACGGGTTCACTTTGCCCCAGAAAACAGCGACTCGTCATGAAAGGATGTTTGTGAAGAAGTCACTCCTTAAATGAGGATTCCAGCTCCAAGCAGGAATGGGCAGGCGTCTGGGACTATTTTAACTGCACGATGCCTTGAGTTCCACCAGAAACTCGACAGCCCAAGTCCAGCAGCAAGTGGGCCCGCCTTCAGCCCAAATGTGGTGGCGCATCCAGGACACCGCGCCCAAGGCCTGCTCTGCTTGGCGATCCTTTTTATAGCCCGCTAACCAAAAAAAAGGTGCTAAGGACGGAACCCCCTGCAAGGACACCAATCCTAGTAAAAGATGGTGCTGGATTCAAGCCAGAGGCAGCTGCAAAAATCCAGACACCTGAGACGTCCACTCTTCCCTGAGTCACTCCAACTTCCCGTGTATCTCGGCTTCAACGCTCACTCCAGGTAGGTTGCAAACCAAAGGCCTGTGAAAGGCCAATCAGGGGTCACCAAAGCAAGAAAAGGGAAGAATGCTTAGAAATAAAGACAGGCATAAATGTGCTTTGGGTTTTTATTTAAAGGCTTAAAAGTCACATATGTATTCACGTTTGTGCCTTCATGAAAAGGATGGTCTCCTTGGTCGCATTCTCCTCCACCAACAAACACACTTTTCTGAGAACAAGCAGCTGAACAAGACCGTATGGGAAAGTAACCAACGGAATTCCCTCTGACGCTTCACAGCATTGCCTAAAATCATCACAAATAATCAAAATTGCAAGAGAAAACGATAGGATATTTATCTTTCACAAGCAGCCATGTTTAATTCAGAAACATGACATGTATAAAGTTAATGGAGTATAAAGCATTTCTAAAATAAGTAAAAACCAAACGAGAAAAAAGTGATGATTCATCCCAAAGTTAATCTTCTTTCTAATTGTGGTCAAGCACCCGTAATGCAGAATCCGCCATGGTGATGCTGCCTAAGCGCCCAGTTTGGAGCATTCGCTACATTCTCACGGCCGGGCAGCCGTCCCCACCCTCCATCTGCAGAACTCGTTTCGTCTTCCAAAACGGAAACTTGGTGCCCATTCCAAAGTTAATCTCCTTAATGAGAAACTGCGAAAACTCTTCCACAAAACCATTGAGGTAGAAGAAAATTACAGTCGCCCTTACAAGGACCTTTATATGCCACTGAAATGCAAAAGTAATCACCAAGAACCTCCGCTGTGTTGAGGTCTGAAGACATTTCCAAACAAGATCTCCTAAATCATGAAGCAGCTTCGGACATACTGGAGCAAACTATTTGCTAAAAGCTAGAATTCTCCCCATCTTTCCATTCTGCATGGACTTACACTTTTAAGAGTTATAATCTCAACCAACACCTCTCTCTTCTCTGGAGCCACTCCTTCCCTTATCCACACCGAATATTAAAGCCTATGGTCTTCCACAGCTGACATGACAGTGAAACATTCTATACTATAAAAATAATTTTGAGGAAATTGCCCGGCTAATGTCCTCTGCGTTGAGGCCCCAGTGGAAGGCAGCTCTCTTGGTTCTACAGATTGATTACTTGGAGTCTCATGAAAAGTAAATAAAACATCTTCAGTTGGCAATGTTTTCCAAATTAACTTAAAACCATTTACAGAACAAACTGTCAAAAAAAAAAAAGACAAGGAAAATTCATTTCCATACTTAATACCCACTGTGATGTCCGCAGTACAGTAGTTAGCTTTTAACTTATTTTATCGTTATTCCTGATGTTTCTTAGAGTAATGATTCACCTGAATCAGGAAAATTAATTTCTTTTAAAAAATTGTGTGATGCTGACTTTGATGGACACAGTTGCAAAAATCTTTTTTACACATGTGACTTTTTCATACATTTTTACTCATAACCAAGACTTCCAGAAAATAAAAAGAGGCCCAAAAATATCTGACACACTCAACAAGCTTCCCTGTAAGCAGATATGCTCAAACTCGTAGCTGAGACACACTTGACTGGGTAAAAGAAAACAAAACAGGGACAGTTCCTCATTCTCAAGAAGAGTTCTATCAGTAATGTCATCCATCCATGCTCGTAATTAATAAAGATTGTATTTTTCTCAATACACCTGGTGTTTTACTCTGGAATGTATAATACAGACAATGTTGGCTACTGAGATACCATCATTCTTAGTGGTGAGTCAACAGTAAATCCCAACAAATTAAATTCTTCTAATTACCATAGAAGAGTCTTTGTAATTACCTTGTTATAGCTAGAAAACAAGTAAGAAAATGTCAGCAAACCTCTGTTTCATACCCAACTAAAACATCCTGGGACACAAATACATACTTGACAGCACACGATTGCTTTTAGAAATGAATCAGCTTGCAGAGCCCCTCACACGAAAGAGGCATCTTCTCCATACTTTCCTCAGGACTTGCAATTTCTTTGATAAAAATAAATCAGAAATCTTGCAGGAGGAAAACAAAAATGCAGATCCATATCCACAGGATAACAAGCCCTGACTGATTCTTTTTTCCCCTTAATTGTAATGATAACGAAGTTTTTTTTAGACCTTCTTTTTCTCCGTCATGTTTCCTTAAAGGTCAGGCAAAACACTTCCTCACAACCACCAGCCACACACGCCCATCCTGCCATGAGAAATTACACAGAGATGCATCTCCCACTTCAAAACATTCATGCCAGTGTTTTATTCACTGAGACCTTGGGGGTTTCCAGAACATAACATCTAGCCGATTCCCACCCTGATCACAAAGAAAGGCCTTGACTGCAAACAGATTCCAAACACATTTCTCTCTAGCCAATAAGAATGGTGATTTTCTTTAGTAAATAAGTATAATTAGCAAAATAAACAACTTTGAAACCAACAAACTCAAGTTTATAAGACAACCAGTTTCCCTTAAAAACCCAGGACAACAATCATCTATTAATAAAACTATTTCCTCTGTCAAATAAAAACAGATCTCTGGGCTCAGCTCATAAATCACCACAGAACTAAATATCCTACTTTCAGGTCTTACAGTTAGTTAATACGCAATCTTGCACTAAAAACAACCCACAAAATAAAAATGCACAAAATATCTAAATTAGGTAATCACATTTCTCACTTTTGCCACTGATACGAAACATATAATCCCAAATCAGAAGAATGAAATGTATTTACCTGTATTCCTGTCTGGTAAGATACAGCAATGCTTCTGCAGAATGCCAGGCAAAACCTGTTTTAAAACAAATAAATAAAATACATTTGTTATCATTCGCGTGGAGGAAGGCATCTCATTAACTGTTGCGAGTGTTTCTTCTAATAAGGTAGTTCAATGTTGCACAAAGTCAGCGTGCCCAGAAAGGCCTAACAAATTAAACGGTACAGAAAAATCTTGATGACACACATTTTTCATTGAAAAGGTTAATCAGGTGAGTGTGATTATCATCTATGCCGTTTCTGGAATGGGAATGCAGCCGGGTTTAATGGATGCCCCTAATGGGCCATCAGGGTCTTGAAAGCTGTACTCCAGGGGCTCCCACAATAAGGTAAATGGACCCACCAATTTTTGTGATGGCTTTTAAAATATTAGGCGCAATTAGAGCCTGGAAATGGAGGGCTGTTGGAACATTGTGCTGGGTCTTCCAGAGTCTGAGCTTCCATCAAGGGTGAATCACAAAGAAAAATGTGAAAGTAAGGGCTGTATTTACATTCATACTTCAGTAGTAAAATGGGAAGAAAATATCTTATTTGGTAAGTGAAGGAGAGGTGAAAATAACAGAGAATGGCTTTCCCAAGATTCAGCAACATAAAACAAATTGCAAAGCACACACTCCGGTAACGTGCAGCTGAAGAGATGTCTGTGGGAAATGTGTGATTATTTTTCTAAACTCAATTAGAGGAAAAGCTGAACTTTTATCCTAAATACTCCACACGATGAACTTGCAGCCATTCCTCAACCCTCCATGAAGACAGCATCTACAAGTCTCTGCTTATTACCTGTTCTAGGGCAATTTACCCAGGAGAGAGGGTGATTAGAGGCTGTTGCAAAGAAACACCAGTCATACGTTTGCCCTCGATCGACTTTCAGTCTGGCTGAGTATAGAGCAGGCTCTCATAAATGCAATGGATGAAACCACAAGAGATGATCTGGAATAACCACTCCCTTCTCCTCCATCCCCCCTCTCCCCGCCAATTCTTCTATATTGAAAAAAGAACAATTCTCTCCCAAATATAATCAATTGAAAACAAGACAGTATCACCAATTTTCAACTCTGTGCAAATCAACAGAGACAGAAAATAAAACAATAATGAGTTTTAGTACCTAGCAAATGCTGTGCAAAATGTGGAATTAAAAGTTCAATCACATGCTTCTCATGTGCACAGAGCTGCCTGTGTGGCTGAGGCAGAGAACAAACCGCGGTGAGACAGTCGGGGCAGGGAGGCGCTAAGCCTTGTGATAACCATGGGGTCAGGTGCTGGCCCCGTGCCACGTGGAAGCTGTCGGTATTTTTCATCAGTGCAGTCTGAGCCTCTAGGGTCGTATCTGACACTGTTTCCCTGATGAGCTCCTAGCCCCCATGCCCAACAGTGCAAGAACACACACACACACTCAACTCCCGGGGTTTGACGCCTTCGAGGGCTCCTCGCAGATCTGCCCTCTGTCTCATTCCACAGCCATGCCCATTCACTCACCTTTTCCAGCACTTTCCAAAGGGCCTCAGGGATCAAGGCCAGGCCTCAGAACCCACCCCCTCAGGAGGGATTCAATGATCCACCAGGTCTGAAAAGGCTACTGCCTCCACACCCCACGTGGAGATCAGAGACACACGTTTCCACAGGGAGGCTCCGCCACATCCTTCCCTAAACTAAGTTGCCCACAAAATACTTTTCTGTGCCAACGTCCCATTAACAGCCAGAGTGGAAACGCTGACCTAGTCAGCTGCAGACACCACCTAAGGGATCTCTTCCCTCACGGTCTCCTCCCGGCTGAAATCACAAGCTGCTCTGCTGGGTGCTGCTCCTAAGGAGGGGCTGCCCATAGGTAAGCCCCACGCACGTCCACAGTGGAACTTGGGGCCCTGCCCCGGCATCCCCAGCACCGACGGTTAGCTCCAGACTAACGCAAGTGCAGGCAACCCCATTCCACAGACATGTCTTGAAGAAGCGGGAATAAAGTCTCAATCAATCAAATCAGAGCATGGGACTCTATCACCATCGCTGCCCTTTCATGGTCTCAGCCACGTCTCTATCACGTGCAGTGGCGACAGTATTGGAAAGGGCCGCGAGAGGTCACAAGACATGCATGTGAGGTCAGTAGGACACGTGCTTGGGGGCGGGAGGGTGGGGCTGGGACCCCAAGCTATGGTCTGCCACAGCAGGACCAGCCCAGAATGTCACCTCCATGGGAGCTGGCGCCCCCCTCAAATGCCGCAGCTCCCGTGACCACCCCTCCAAACCCTGGATTCTGACGATACACAGAACCAGAGCACTGGAGGTGCTCACGGGAGGCCCACATCCTGCCTGTGGGACTCCTTTAGGGTCAGGGACAGGCAGGGCCCTCACTCCACAGAACTGCAAACCTCAGACCTCATCCCTGGACTCAGGCAATCAGACCTCACGCATGACACAATTGCATCTGCCAGGGCCTGTTTTATGCCGTCTCTGTTCGATTTGAAAAAGGGCTGTGGGGGGGGAATCGCTTGAGAGTCACCAGTTCAGACGCATGGTATGACGAATGATCCCACAAGCCAGTCATGGGGTTCCCGGGGCAGCTGTGCACTGTCCATTCTCATGGAGCCAAGTACGCCTGACCCCTGGGGTCCTTCCAGCCTCTCACTCTCCCCAGGAGACAGCCCCTAGCAGCACTGACCAGCAGAGCCACTCACTGCACCCTGGGATCTCGTCGGATGGTCCCACAAACACAGTGCCCACCCTGCGGCTCCCACAGAGCTTTCCTTGAACCCGCCAGGTAGCTCTTTATACTTGAGGATCCAAGACAAATCATCAACCTTCCAGGGTAGAATCCACGTGTGACTTTCCTAAAGGCAGACAATCTGTGTTCGAAAAAGGCGCTCACCCCTAACGTTGACAGCATTCTACCCGCCACAGTCACAGGCAGGATAGTGCATTAAATCCAGACCAGCCACGGCCTCTGGAAGGCTGAGCACACGTCGCTTGCCGCACCGGCTCTGGCTGGAGCAGGAAGGCAGGACCATAATAGGTTTATTTCTTCCTCTCTGAAGGATTTACAGAAGGCCGCAGAGGAGAATGAAATTATCCTTATTGCCCAAAGGCACTTTTAAAAGTTCAATTCCACACAACCTGCCTGTTCTACAGCAGCGTTTAGCAGCTGAGAAAGATCAGGAGGCGTGAGTTCTGCCTGCCACGGGTGCTGGGGCCACAAAATATACTCAGCGGTCACCCCGAGGTGTCTGTCCACACCCAGCCAGCTGCGAGCACTGACATGTGTTCCCGAAATACTGATTTCTAACCCCTCCGTGGCATCAGCCTGAGCAGGGCCCTCCTCATCTGAGGAAAGCAGAATCACAGAACGTGGAGAAGAAGCACCCCCGGGTCAGTGACCACACGTCCACTGGGGCCGTCACATGCAGCCATGTAATTTTTTTGAGACAGTCTTGTTCTATCGCCCAGGCTGGAGTGCAGTGGTGCGATCCCAGCTCACTGCAACCTCCACCTCCTGGGTTCAAGTGATTCTTCTGCCTCAGCCTCCCTAGTCACTGGGATTACAGGCACCTGCCACCACGCCTGGCTAATTTTTATATTTTTAGTAGAGATTGGGTTTTGCCACATTGGCCAAGCTGGTCTCAAATTCCTGACCTCAAGCAATCCACCCACCTCGGCCTCCCAAAGTGCTGGGATTACAGGCATGAGCCATCACGCCTGGCCAGCAATGTAATTTTAATTAATGAAAATCAGTTAAAACCTGAAATCTGGGTGCCCGGTCACACTGTCCACACACCACATGCTCACAGGCTACGTGTGGCCAGTGGCCTCGTCATATGCAGTGGATGTCAGACACGTGACTGATTTTCAGCTGAAGAAACTCGGCCCCAGCTAGGGTTCCCGACACCCCACCAGCGTCCTCTCTGTCCACTCAGGGCCTGGACCGCGTGTGTCCCCTGCGTCCAGAGGCCCAGGCCCGGCCACGCCTCTTCCTCACCCTCCCTGATGCCTCCCGTGCAGCTCCGCCCTCCAGGGGAACAGAGGGTCCCTGACGAATGTGAGTCTGAGCTGGGGAAGTGTTCCTGTGGAACGCGGCAGTCTGCTGCGGCTGCATAACGAGCACCGTAAGTCAGGTGACTTAACAGAAATGTGCCGACTTGGTTTCCCCCAAGACTCTATTTCCAAATAAGGTCATGTCTGGAGGCGCTGGGCTCCATCACACACTTTTTGGGAGACACGTTTCAGCCATAACATCACCGGGGTGCGGGCGGGAGAGCTTGGCGTCCTCCATGGCCGTGCCATTCACCAAGTCACTAAGCTCTTGGTCTCAGTGGCCCCATGAACAGAGTGGAGGAATAACACTCATACCAAGCAGGGGTCCAGCAGTAGAAACAAGCTGCCTCGCGATGACGTCCTATGGGAAGTAATCTGACACTGGCAGCTGCTGTATTCTGAGATGGTGACCGTCGTTACTAGCTCTACACAAGCCATAGCCACAAAAATACACAGGCCTGTTGTGGCTGATTTTATGGACACGGCCTTGCACATGTATTGAGCTGACATCACAGCCTTCAAAGGTGCTGCCCGGGGGGCTCTGCAGTTATTTCTACCGCCCCTCCCTGCTCTCGAACTGATGTTTGAACCAGTGGGCAGGACGCCTACAACTCGCTTATCCTACAGCCAAACCCAGCTATTCCCCAACCTGCTGAGTAGCTTCATAAAACATCCTTGTTTGTAATCTTTGGCCCCAACCAACCTGTGACTGCCTCCAGAAAGCAAAGGATAAAAACGTCCTGACATTAACGAGATTAAAGAGCATGGAGGCGACAAGATAACTCATAGGGACTCTGACGGCCGCTTGGGGATCCCTTGCCTGCTGCGCCACAACACTGGTCTCAAACCGCCCCACCGCCCCCGTCCACCCGCACTCTTTCCACCCCCCACCCCTGCCCACCCACACACTTTCCGCCCCCCCGCCCCCACCCACCCGAACACGTTCCACCGCCCCCGCCCCCACCCACCTGCCCACGTTCCACCGCCCCCGCCCACCCGCACACGTTCCACCCACCCACCCCTGCCCACCCACACACTTTCCGCCCCCCCGCCCCCCTACCCGAACACTTTCCACGCCGGCGGCCCCGCCCACCCGCACACTTTCAAGCCCTCCCCCGGCCCCGCCCACCTGCACTTTCCACCGCCCCCGCCCCCGCCCACCCGCACACTTTCCACCTCCCCCGGCCCCGCCCACCCGCACACTTTCCATCTCCCCCCGGCCCCGCCCACCCGCACACTTTCCATCTCCCCCTGCCCCGCCCACCCGAACACTTTCCACCCCCGACCCCTGGCATCCATCTCCTCGTGCCACCAGCCCTCTTCTTCCTTCCCAGCCCCGCTGTTTTCTTGTGATTCTCGGCTCCCCAAGGCCGCCGGGGCTGTATCTCAGTCACCCTCACGCAGGGCACCCAGCGCCTCTGTGACTCACGCTAGGCTACCTGGGCTCAAACCTTGCACACGCCTGGACCCCCCACTCTCCACCAGCACGAACTGCACACCGTGACTCCTTCCATGAACCCTCCGGCTGCCCTTGGAGTGCCCCCCCAGCCCCCGCGCCCGCCAATGCAAGACCGCGTGTCCCCCTCACAAATTAAAACACAGTCCCAGAACACACGTCCGCTCTGTGCCAGATACCATGGGGGCTCAGCGAGGACTCCTATCCAGTAGGAATGATCAGAGCCCGAGAGGAATAAATGAACGTGGCTGGGCGCCCGAGGAGGGGAGCGGCCGGGCTTGGATCTGTGCCTGGGCACTGTCCCCAGTCTGCTAGCCCCAGCCTCAGTCCAGCCTGTGTCTTGCTTCTGGCGCAACATTCCTGAGCAATCCCTCTGCGGTGGACCCACCAGGGTTCCTCGGTTCCGATGACCATGGCTTGGAACCCCCCTGGGTTCCCCTGACCACAGAACCTCACAGGTGGGGTCCAGTGGGGGTTGCACGGCTCCCACGCTGCCCTCCAGCCAGTTTCCTCCCTGCCCATCCCGGAGGATCCAAACTGAGCCACAGATGTCCAGCGAAGCCCTGGAAATCTCATGCCCAGCCTGCAAACGGGAGCAACAATGTTACAGGGCAAGTATTAAATGGCTGGCAACGTACGAGATGCTTGTTGATGAGCCTGGGAGGGTTCAAGCTCAAGCGTCAGGAGAACGACGCTGCCACAGCAATGGGGCAATGGGGACGCCCCGTGCTGCCATCGAGGCTGTTCTTGCTGGATCTCCCTCTCCACTGATCAAACAGTTTCAACTTCCGGTCCAAACCCTCCCTGCACAACTTTACTCCACATGCTTACATACTGCTCTCCTCTGAACCCCTACCCGGCATTTCTCAAGCCCTCAGAATACACATCTCACCGTGATCATTTAACGTCTCGCTCCTCTCTGGATGTTCCGCCTGCGCCCCTGCCTCTGCCCCTCACACTCAAGGGTCAATCCTCTCTACCAACCAAAAGGTGTTTCCACACTTGCTTTGTTTCTTAGCAGATAAACACTTTACTTTTTATCAATAAAGAGATTCACCTGTTAACTTTCTTTGGAAGAAATTCAAATAATAGAGAAATAGATGGATTTGTGCAGTGGAGGACTGCATTACTGTTTAAGCCTTTGGACCTACTTTTTGTATGAGACAGGGTCTTGCTCTGTTGCCCAGGCTGGAGTGCAATGGTGCGATCATAGCTCACTGCAGCCTCAACCTCCTGGGCTCAGCTCAAGCAATCCTCCTACATCAGCCTCCTGAGTAGCTGGGACTGCAGGTACACAACATCATGCCCAGCTAATTAAAAAACAATTTTTTTTAAAGATATGGGGTCTTTACCGGCTGGTCACAAACTCTTGGCCTCATGCAATCTTCCTGCCTCAGCCTCCTAAAGTGCTGGGATTTCAGGCATGAGCCACTACACCCAACCTACCCCGACTTGTCTTTTAAAACTATGTAATATAGTTTTGACAATAAAAACTCATATCCTTCCACTTTTGGAAGTTCAAAATACTTCTTCTCTGTTCTCTTCTCCTGGAACTTCTATTATTCAGCTGTCGGACCTACGGAGCCCATTTTCTTTTAACATCTCATTTCTGTTTTCTGTTTCTCTGTGTTTTTGTTCTACTTCCTGGGACATTCTCTTGCCTTCACATTCCAATCCTTCAGTGAATATCTCAGCTCCTGCCATCCTGCTGTTAACCTCCCCGGAATTTCTCTCTACAAATGCTCCTTTCGGGCTGCAGCCGCCTCCTGGTGATGGATTTAACGCCAGCTCCTCCCTTCCAGTTTACGTGTAGCCTCATAAACATGGGATGGGGCAGGAGCCATCCATGGGTGCTGAACCGGGGGAAATTCTGATGGGGAACAAGGTACCATGTGGTTTAAAACTATTCCCCACACACTGCATATTTGCTGCAAGGGGAGACAAAGAATAGTAATTATATGCCGGCAAGACCACCACCTCCAAGGTGTAACCAAAATGAACACCAGGAGTGAGAGGATGTGGGCCTCGGAGCTCCAGGAGCAACACCGTGAAGAGGAGGGCGCCCACCATCCGCCCGGGAGCAACCCCGTGAAGAGGAGGGCGCCCACCGTCCACCCGGGAGCGACACCGTGAAGAGGAGGGCGCCCACCGTCCGCCCGGGAGCGACGCCGTGAACAGGATGGCGCCGACCGTCCGCCTGGGAGCAATGCCCTGAAGAGCAGGGCGCCCACCGTCCGCCCGGGAGCGACCCCGTGAAGAGGAGGGCACCCACTGTCTGCCCGGGAGCGACGCCGTGAAGAGCAGGGCACCACCGTCCACCCAGGAGCGACGCCGTGAAGAGGAGGCCGCCCACCATCCACCCAGTGCCCTCTGTCCTCCTTTATTTTTACAACTTTTACATGTGAAGTTATTTCCAAACACAAAGGTCTTAAAGACATATTCTGCTTTCTCTTCGGTCACCCATCCTCCATGTCTTCTGCCTTCTGGGATGGTGATTCTCGCTGTTCCCGCTGGCCTCGGGAGGGAGGGTGCATGTCCCACGGGGCGTCCCACAGTCTCACCCTCTGCAGTTCACATAACAAATAAGTGGTGTGTCTGTGAAATACGTGCAGTTACACCACGCCACTGAATGTGCTTCTCCAGCCACATGAGCCTGAGATGTGAATACACGCTTTAGAGTGTCAAGAACATTAATATATACTCAATTAATTCTTTCCAGCTAATTCAACCTAGAAGAAACTGCCTTAGGTTTGTTTCTAGAATATGTGGCATTACAAGCTATGAGATGAGATGTATAGCATTTTAATGTTTGTGATGCCAGGACTTAATGATTTCCATATTTGTTTGATAATGTCTTCTATCTCTGGCCTCCCTTCTATGGCATTAAAAGTAATTAAGAGATGAGGTGCCTGCCACCACACACACAGCCAGAGAGGCCAGGACCAGAACTCCCCTCTGCCTCTCGCAGGCCAGTCATGTACCCCGTGTAACACCCATGCCTCTGCATGCAGGGCCGGTATCCTGGGTCTTGCCAGCTCTAAGGAGTCACACTCACCACTGAGGCCCTTCTCAGCAGCGTGGCCCAGGGAAGGCAGGTGCAGGCATCAGATAGGCTGCTCAGGGGACGTCTCAGCTCTGCCACCACGGGAAGGCCACCTTTGGCCAATGGCTCACAGGCTGTGCTGCACCTTCCGTGTTCAGGCAAAACCACAGCTCGTAGGGCAGCTGAGGACTGAAGGAGTCCCATGTGGAACGCACTATGGGAGCAGGTTGGAGAGAGGAACCATCCAGGGGCTGGAGATGCGGCGTCAGTGGCGTGAAGACATCAGGCTGCTGTTCCGCTGGATCTCACCAGCACTGGGATGAGCTGCCATCAGTCAACGGTTGTTATCTATGAGTCAGAGGTCTTCACACTTCCACTGGCGTCAGAACCGCCTGGGGGGCTTGTTAAACACCTTCTGCTGGACCCACGCAGGAGTTCTGGGGCAGGGCCCAAGAGTCTGTTTGTCCGTCAAGCTCCCAGGAACTGTCGGCGCTGCTGGTGCAAGAAACATTCTCTGATGCGCAGGGCTCACCCTCCAGTGAACAGGGATATCCACTCCATTAACCCCCTTCAAAGCTGCAGCTGAAACTCCATTTTACACGGGAGAGTGACCAAGGCAAAAACTCACAAGCACCAGAAGAACGGTGAGCACAAAGCAACAGCTTCCACGTGCTTTGTGAGATAAAGAGCAGATGGAGGGCCTTCTTAGAGCTGGGAATGCAGGACCAGAGGTCCCCACAGAGGCATCTGAGTGAGGACCCAGCAATGAGCTGCAGGGGCTGGAAGCACGCGGAGTCCCAAAAGGCAGGCGCCTCAAAATCCACGTCCAAACCTGCGGCTTCTCCAGGCCCCTTCCCTGCACACAGCACCCCCAATCATGTCTCCGTGACTAGAGAAATGGATGAGAGGGAACCAGACGCTGCATGGGCTTTGGATGTGTGCCCTGCGGATGAAGCGTCTCAGTAAGTGCAAAGCTCGCACACCAAACATCGCTGCCCCGGCCAATGACCGCCTTCCAGGGACCACGCCAGGGTGCACTTCAGCCCGAGGAGATGCGTGTGCTTTGTAAGAGATTTGGGGAGTGAAGTCACCCCAAGGCCTCTTGGGTGAAGTCGCCAGACCTCACCCAAGCAGGAGGCTACAGCCCTGGCCACAGTGGGTTAAGTCATGGGATAAACATTTCCAAAGCAAACACCATGGGGAGCACTTCTGCCCCCACACAGGTCACAGACAAGAACAGCCCTCAGCGGCTGACTGAGCGCTTTCCTGCTGTACGGTTTACTGCCCACTTGTACGGGTATCGTAGACCTGATACATGTTTTTACAAAAATTTATATTCATTCATTCATTCATTTTCCAACCCACTTACTGCAGGTCAGGGTCACACGTGGCGGGAGCTCACTCCAGCAGCTCAGGGTGCCAGGCAGGATCCAGGCCTGGATGGAGGTCACCACAGGCACTGAGACAGCAACGGAGGGAACACAGCAACTCGCTGCACGTGCAGGGCTTTGGGATGTGGGAGGAAGCCTGGTCCCCAGAGAAACTCACAGCCCTGGGGGAAGGAGCCAACCCCGCACGGAGAGCACCCCAGCTGGGATCAATGTTTTCCTCATCAGTGTCATAAGGAAAAGCCGTTGAACAGAAGAGCATCTGCGGTGCTCGCTTCTGGCTCACCCGAAACTCAGGATGCAGCCCTGTGAGCCCGTGGGGAGGGGGAGGGGCGGGAGGAGAGCGGCTGCCGGGGCAGGGAAGGGGCGGCAGAGGGAACAGAAGATGCAGGGGGTGCCGGGTCTTGGGAGTGAGACGCAGCCCTTCGCGCTCGCACACACCCCCGTGACTCCTCGGCTTCTTACCGGGCGCCCATGTTTATTAGATGAGATTAAAACAGACTCATGTAAAATAACGTCCAGCTAGTCTGCACAACAATTTTTACAACTGTGAGGAAGCATCGCTGAAATGTCCTTAAGAAAAAATGTAAAATGACCGTGAAATTCATCTGGAGTTGAAGTCCTCCCAGGCCTTCCTAAAGCTTTCCAGTTACAATGCAGATACATCGGCACAATCGTGGTGTTCACCTTCTTATTTAAAACATGCATCCAGCAAACCCAGACTAGAGCAAACAGGGTTTGGAGAAAGAAGGGAGCCTCAACATGGCCTGGCAGGACCAGGGTTGCTTGGTGACAAACACCTGTGAAATAAGGGATTGAGTGCGAGGCCACGATCATGTTTTACACGAGATTCCAGCATCTCCATGAAACATCAGCGTTTGTCACAGTGAACAGAGACCTGCTGCTGAACCCCCACTCCAAGCGCAGGAAGGGGGCTCCGATTCCACACCAGTGAGGGGGTTTCCTCCGATGATTCTCCCTTGCGCCACTGACTCTGGTGGCACTGAGGCAAGAACAGTCATTCAAAGCCTGTTACAGATGTAAAACTTGGGGCGACTTCACCCCTCAAATCTCTTACAAAGCACACGCATCTCCTCGGGCTGAAGTACCATCCATGAAGACTCTTCAAAACACAAAGAATTCATCAATTCATTAAGAGACACCACTTGTCTTAGTCAGCTGGGGCTGATAAAACAAAAGCCACAGACTGGGGGGCCCATAAATGAACAGCAGAATTCATTTCTCACAGTTCTGGAGGCTGCAGGTCCAGCGCGGAGGTGACGGCAGTGTCTGGTGAGGACCCACTTCCGGGCTCAGATGGTGCCTTCCTGCCATGCCCTCCCATAGAAGACAGTACTTGGTCTCTTCCTCTTCCTACAAGGGCACGAATACCAACATGGGGGCCCCACCCTCGTGACTACACCTCGCCGTCATCGCCCCCCAGGGCCCCACCCTCCAAGCACCATCCCACTGGGGACCAAGGCTTCAACATAGGAATTTGGGGGGACATGTTCAGTCCATGGCACCATTTAGATGTCGGATGGGTACCCCAAAATTAGTGTGACTTCCCCAAATACATCATCTCCCCACCACCCAGCCCCCCCGCCCTGGTGTCACACCATCCCGGCAGCTCAGGGTGCCAGGTGGAACTGGCAATGGTACCACCATTCCACTCCCCGGCCAGGTCCTGCACAAAACCCTACATCCTCTCCTCCAAACCTGCATCCCATCCATTATCCCCATCCAACAAACCCTGGAGATTGACACCTCTCACCACTGCCCCACACCTACCTAGCCACTATCATCCCCATCCAACAAACCCTGGGGATTGACACCTCTCACCACTGCCCCACACCTACCTAGCCACTATCATCCCCATCCAACAAACCCTGGGGATTGACACCTCTCACCACTGCCCCACACCTACCTAGCCACTATCATCCCCATCCAACAAACCCTGGGGATTGACACCTCTCACCACTGCCCCACACCTACCTAGCCACTATCATCCCCATCCAACAAACCCTGGGGATTGACACCTCTCACCACTGCCCCACACCTACCTAGCCACTATCATCCCCATCCAACAAACCCTGGGGATTGACACCTCTCACCACTGCCCCACACCTACCTAGCCACTATCATCCCCATCCAACAAACCCTGGGGATTGACACCTCTCACCACTGCCCCACACCTACCTAGCCACTATCATCCCCATCCAACAAACCCTGGGGATTGACACCTCTCACCACTGCCCCACACCGACCTGGACAGCAACCATCCTCCCGCAGCCTGACTGGTTCAGCAGCCTCCTGTCCCATAACCCTCCTTCACACCACCACCGAAAGGGCTCTCATAAACCTCGTGAACCCTAAGTCACACTGCATTATTCTGCTCAAAACCCACTGCAATGGCCCCAAACATTTCATCGTTAAAGGGCCTGAAGGCCCCATGCAATGTGGCTCTAGCTACCACTTCCAGCCTCCTCTCAAGCTCTGGTTACACAAACCCTTCCTGCTCCTCATCAGCGCCAAGCGTGTGGTCTCAGAAGGGGGGACGGGCAGCGTCCAGAGACCGACAGCCCCCTGCTCCCCGGAAACAGAGGTGGAAAGAGCTGCTGTGTCTCAGCACGGGGGATGCTGCAGATAAAACAACACTGCAACTGCAACAGCTATTACATTATACACATCCATAATTTTAAGTTTTATTTTTAGTTGACATATAATGACTGTGTATACTTATGGAGTCCGATATGATGTATCCGTCCTGCATACATTGTGGAATGACCAAATTGAGCTAATTAGCATATCCATCACCTCAAGGATTTACCATTTCTTTGTGGTGAGAACATTTTAAATCCCCTCTTCTGGCTGTTCTGAAATATGCAGCTCTGTGTTATTATTAACTGCAGTCACTATACTGTGTAGCCTCCAGAGCCCACCAGCCCACCCAGCTGACTCCCCACACCCACCCCAGCCCTGCCAGCCACCACCCCACTCCCCCACCCTGCCCTGCCAGCCACCACTCTGCTCTTCCCATGCCACCCCTGCCATCCGCCACCCCACTTTCCCCACCCCGCCCCTGCCAACCGCCACTCCACTCCCCCCACCCCGCCCCTGCCGGCCGCTACCCCTGCCAGTCACCACTCCGCTCTCCCCACCCCGCCCCTGCCAGCCTCCACTCTGTTCTCCCCACCCCACCCCTGCCAGCCACCACTCTGCTGTCCCCACCCCGCCCCTGCCAGCCACTACCCCTGCCAGTCACCACTCCGCTCTCCCCACCCTGCCCTGCCAGCCACCACTCTGCTCTTCCCATGCCACCCCTGCCATCCACCGCTCCACTTTCCCCACCCCGCCCCTGCCAGCCGCCACTCCACTCTCCCCACCCCACCCCTGCCAGCTGTCACTCTGCTCTCCCCACCACACCCCTGCTCCGCCTCCATACATTTGCCTTGTCATAGATTCCCACGTGAGTGAGATCAGCTGTGCTTGTCTTTCTGCACCTGGCTTATTTGTCACGGTGTCCCCCAGCTCCATCCATGTTTCCACAAATGACAGGATTTCATTCTTTTTTAAGGCTAAATAGTATTCCATTGTGTACATGCCACATTCTCTTCACCCACACATCACTCCTGGGCACGCAGGTAGATTCAGCATCTTGGCTGCTGTGAACGCATCAGAGGGGAGGGCAGCCCTGTCCCTGTCACACCAGTCTCTGTAACACAGAGATGTCTCGACCGTGCTGGAGTGACAACCTCCAAGTCTAAGGGCTGGAAGCCACAAAGATCACTCATTCCGTGTCCACCTCAGGCTGCAGGGAGGCTGCTCTGGGGGCGTCTCCCACCCAAGGGCTCAGCTGACTGAGCCTCCAACAGCAGAAACATTGCAGTGGCCATGGGAGAGGGAGACGCACACTGCTCCGAGAGGGCCCTTCCCACAAGGACGTCTCACGCACGAGGGGAAGAAGCCCCTGCCTGCCAGAAGGGAAGAGCAAGAGGGGCCTGAAGCCTGAGCCACACGGCCTGGGTGACCTCGAAGCCTCGGGCCGACAGCCAAGGAGAGAAGGCTGAGCTACTCGGAGACGCCGAACCTCCCAATGCTTCAACAGTAACCATGGGAACCTCTGCACTCCGAGACAACCACATCCGCATTGTCACAGCAAGAGGAGGGGCTCGGGCCCCATGCTGCTGGCCGAAGGGGGTCTCGTTCTGTCAGGACACACCTTGGAGACCCCCATGTCCAGAGCCTAGGACAGCACCTGGCAGGGCTGGTGCTCTGCAAACATTTTCCAAAAGAACGACGGTTAACAGAGTCCTGGATAGACCTGCAGGCAGGAGGGCCGCTGGATGCTGTCATGAAACCACAGCATGCCTAACGGACTTCCCTCACTGCAGAAAGACCCTCCTGACAGCTTCCGGGCTGAGGGGCGGCCCCAGGGCCACACTGGATGGAAGGGCAGCTTCATCCAAGACCGCAGGACTGGGCTCTAACCCCACCCTCCCCTTCATGGGACAGGTTTCCTGCCTATCTGCTGCAGACAAGGGTGCATATTTGCTCCATCTGCCTAATTAAATCTAATTGAATGGATTTGCAATGTGAGAAATTAGATACGACACGTAAGTTAGATGAATCACAGGGCAGCCTCATCGAATTGGTCATCCTGGCAGGGTCAAAAGGCACCCAGCAGTTCAGGGTCTTCCACCGTGCCTGCCTTCCTAGCTGTCGGACATTCTGCAAAACGTCATCATTTTACCCAAAGGGAAAGTGACTCTGGAGGGCAGGACTCTCCCATGACCCCACATCGCATGCCACTCTGCAGGATCCGGCCTGCCCTCGGTTCCACTTCTGCCCCACGTTGCACGCGGCTCAGCAGGAACCAGCCTGCCCTCGGTTCCACTTCCGAACTTGCAGGCAAGGGTGTCTCACTTCAGGTCATCTTGTAAAAGGCAAAGGCAGCCTCTTTAGCCCCGGGCTTTCCTCTGGACGTGCAAAGTACTTCTGTGAGTCCAGAGCTTGATCCTGGAACCAACCATTGTTTGCACAACCACAGACCAATCCCAGAGGCAGGATGCAGACCAGGAGGCACGGGATTCCATGGGGGTGGGTTGGGGGTGGGGACCTGTCCATGCCCTGGCTGGCTAGGGATGCTTAGAAACTGCATTCATCTAACATTTCTGTAGGACTAAGAAGCTGCAGCAGGAAAAACCCTAAATTCCCTCCTAAACCTGAGATGTTGCTGCTACTGCTGGAGCATGGCCTGCCTGGCTCGGCCTCTCCTACCCATCCCTCTGCCCCGCCTGGTGGTTCCCGGTCTCCCCCGCCTCTCTGTTCTGCAGCAGAAACGGAACTGTGCTTCCAGCACAGGGAACAGACCAGGGAGCTGACCTACCCAGGGAAGCCACGCAGCTAAACCCTCCATTTTCTTTAACCACACATTTGCTTTCTCCATCTAGCTGTGTTGTCCTCCCACGCCCCCTCCCCAGCCCCTGGCACCCCCCATTCTACTTTCTGCCTCTATGAATCTGCAGCCCCAGGGGCATTGTATGAGTGGAGTCACACAGCAAGGTCTTTCTGTGACTGGCTTATTCCACTCAGCATAGTGTCCCCAGGGTTCATCCACCCCATAGCCTCGTCGGGATTTCGTTCCTCTTTGAGGCTGACTCATGTTCGGCTGTGTGGATGGGCCGCTCTTCACCCATCCTCCCATCCATGGACGGACACGCTAGCTGCTGCCACCTCTGGCTGCTGTGCACAAGCCGCTATGAGCCTGGGTGTGCAGGGGCTGCCCCGAGACCCCGCTGTCTATCATTTGGATCAACTCAGGAGGGGAACGGCTGGGTCACAAGGTGGTTCCGTCTCGAGTTTTTGATGAATCTCCATACACCATTTTCCACAGCATCTGCCCCATCTTCCATTCCCAGCAGCAACACCCAGGACCCAATTCCTCCACATCCTCCCAACACTTGCTATTATCTGCGGTTTTGACAGTGGCCATCCTAAGGGGCAAAAGGGGCTTTCTCGGCACTGACTCATGCACACTTACGTGCAGTGTTACAGGAAAGCATCACCTCCATGCTCTGTGTGGCGCAGCCCCCAGACACCTGTGGATGCGGCCCCAGTCACTAGCCCGGCTTCCCTGCAGCAGTGGAAGCTCTCCCAAGGTCCTCCCCCTCCTCGGCTGGCTGGGATGCAGGCTTTGTATCCCCAGGCAGTGAGAATCTCTCCCAGGCCCTCCCCGTCCTGGGCTGGCTGGGATCCTGGCGTGCTTTGCACTCCACAGTGTCTTTTAGAATTCTCTTTGTCTCTTTGTCATGGGATTCTTCTTTCTCAAGGGTCCTATTTATCATTTAAATTAGATCTTCCTGTCCACACCACCCATCCTCTACTCCCAGAACCAGCCACCTTCTGAATCCCGGAGGCTCTCGAGGCCGGCCTCACGCTCTCTGAGATGGAACAGTCCTGCGATCAGCCCTCCCCAGGCGAGGCTCCCATCCTGTGGCCCAGCAGCTGCCCACGCACACACGGGTGCAGGGAAGGTGCCACCTGGCATCACCTGAACCCCAAGAGAACAGCTTCCGACCGCAGGGAGAGCGCATCCCCTCGTCTGCCATGTGTACACCTCACCAGGGCTGTACCACTCACATTCTCCACAGCCTGACCTTTTGGGCCTCTGCTGTTTCTCAGCCCCCACCCCTGGCCTTTCTTCTGCTTTTCTATTGAAATCCTGAGCATTTCTCAAAATTAAGATGAAATAAAATACCCTTCCTGACATGCACACGCCTGGTCCTGGTCGCCACACGGGTCCTTGTCGCCTTTCACCTTCAGCCATGCCCTCAATCACACCTGTGGCCTGGAAGCCCACATCCTTGGCCTTGGCAACTGGGGGGGGGGTGCCTTATTTACCCCGAATTCCTCACAGCCTCTGAAAAGCACCCCCCAAGGGAGGGGGAGCCAGAAGAGGATGCCACACCCTGCCCACCATGAAGGGATGAGGGGAGGGAATCAGGGACACAGCCCTGCAAACCCAATAGCACTGACCCAGGTCCTGGGGGCAGTGAGGACAAGGGGGAGCCAGTAAGGGGCACAGCCGGGTGGGCGGGAAGGTCACACAGCGAGGATCTCCCAGCTGGGGTGCCAAGAACATCCCATGCAACAGGGTTGTCATGCCCTAGAGTTTAGGGGGGTCGGGAAACGCCCCAGGGTGGCTTGGGCACAGAGGGGAGGTTTGCAAAGGACAGGGGGCTGAGGCCGGAGACACACAGGAAGCAGATCCCAGCCACACTCTGCCAAGGGGATCTGTGATAGGACAACATTGAATCTGCATCTGGACAGGTGGCTCTGCTGGTGGCACCGGGTGGGTGAGGGCAAACCTGCAAGTCCCCACTGTGAGGCTCCTGGGGTAGAATCAAGAAAGCGCAAGGAGGAATTACGCAGCCGCAGAGGGAAGGGGAGGAGGGAAGGGAGGAGGAGGCGCCATCGAGACCCAGAAGAGAAGGGCCATCCTGGCAAGGCGGAGCAGAGGAATAAGAACGAGAACCAGAAGGGAAGACAGCGCACATCCCCAACCTTCCATCAGGCTGGAGAGGCAATTCCCGAACTATATTCCCATGGGGAAAAAAAACGTTCCATGGTCAAGGAAGTCAAAGAATCACAGAATAAACACTCATCCAGGCGCCTGCAACGACAAGTGGTCACAAACGCTCTGAAAAGTCCTGCAGCAAACCACGCTCTGCCATGCGCGTGCACGTGCATGGCTCATCCTAGACGGCTTTTCTTAATGTCTGTATCAGAAACTAAACGCCCAAGGATGATTATTCTGGCCGAGATGGCTGACTAGAAGCAGAGCCGTTTGGAGGCTCCCATCGGAAAAAAACAAAATAAGCATGTGAATCCTTCACCGGCAGCCAAGGTATCCAGGTTCTCTCATCAAACTTCACTAGAAGGCTGGCGTGACCCACAGAGAGGAGGAAGAGCAGTGTGGTGAGGGGGCCACCCGAGAAACACACGGGGAAGGGGAGTCCCTTCCCCCAGCCAAGGGAGGCGGTGAGTGAGCACACTACCCAGCGGGGGAAACTTTGCTTTTCCCACAAAACCGTGCAACCCACGGATCAGAAGATCCCACTTGCAAACTCACGCCACTGGGGCCTACAGTTCCAGCCCCGGAACGTGAAGATTCTTACAGCCTCTCTGATGGAATCTGCTTAAGCCTACAGAACTCCTGGGGGGAGGGGTGACCAGCACTGGCTGCAGCGGCCTGCTGTCTAAGCTGTTTTAACTCCCTGGGGAGGGGCAGCAGCCAGCACTGGGGCTCACAATGGCCTAACATGCTAAACTCCCCGGCACCCATTTCTATAGCTCCAGGCTGCGCTCTTCCCCTACTGGAGCCAGGGAAGCTGAATGGCTTGGTCCCAAGACTTGTCTGCACAGCGCAACACACCCTGTGGCCGTCTGTGTCCAGAGTGCTCTTCAGGCTCGACCCTGACCCATCCTTCCTCAGTGGGTGGCTTCCCTGCAAGAACTCCAATAACTCCAGCCAGAAGCTCAGGGACAGACCCCAGAACTCCCTAGGCCTGAGCCCCTAGCTGCAGGGTGGCCACAGTCTCTGGACCAGCAGACTTAGCCTCTCCTCCTGGGAGTTCTGAGGAACCCAGGCAGCCCAGACACATGTGCTTCCCTGCAGTGAAACACACCCTCTCCACCAAGGGACAAAGTGCTTCATTAAACGGGGCCTGCTGTCAGGCCTCTGAGCCCAAGCTAAGCCATCATATCCCCTGTGACCTGCACGTACACATCCACATGGCCGGTTCCTGCCTTAACTGATGACATTTCACCACAAAAGAAGTGAAAATGGCCTGTTCCTGCCTTAACTGATGACATTGTCTTGTGAAATTCCTTCTCCTGGCTCATCCTGGCTCAAAAGCTCCCCTACTGAGCACCTTGTGACCTCCAGTCTGCCCGCCAGAGAACAACCCCCCTTTGACTGTAATTTTCCTTTATCCACCCAAATCCTATAAAATGGCCCCACCCCTATCTCCCTTCAATGACTCTCTTTTCGGACTCAGCCCACCTGCATCCAGATGAAATAAACAGCTTTATTGCTCACACAAAACCTGTTTGGTGGTCTCTTCACACGGACAAGCATGAAACCTGCTCCTCGTGCAACCCAACTCGGTGAGACCCTCCAACAGGGGTTGTCACACACCCTGTACACAGACACCCTACTGGCAACAGGTTGGTGCCCCTCAAGGTCAGAGGTCCCAGAAGAAGGAACAGGCACCCATCTTGGCTGTTCTCCAGCCTCCCTGAGTGACATCTCCAGGCACAGGAGTGAGTCAGATGAATAGGGCCTGAAGTGAACCCCCAGCAAACTGCAGCACCCCAACAGAAGAGGGACCGGATTATTGAAAAAAAAAAAAAGCAGAAAGTGACAACAGCATAAACAACAACAAAAATGGCCCCCACAGAAACCCCATCCAAGGGTCAGCAGCCTCAAAGACCAAAATTAGACAAACTCACAAAGATGAGAAAGAATCAATGAAAAAAAATGCTGAAAACCCAAAAGGCCAGAGGGTCTTATCTTCTCCAAATGATCACAAGTCAGCGTGCAGAACTGGATGGAGGATCAGGTGGACAAATTGACAGAAGTAAGCTTCAGAAGATGGGTAACAAAAAACTACGATGAGCTAAAGGAGCATGTTCTAACCCAGTGCAAAGAAGCTAAGAACCTTGATAAAAGGTTAGAGGAATTGCTAACTAGAATAACTATTTATAAAGGAACATAACCTGACAGAGCTGAAAAACACAGCACGAGAACTTCATGAAGCATACACAAGTATCAATAGCTTAATTGACCAAGTGGAAGAGAGGATATCAGAGTTTGAAGATCACGTTACTGAAATAAGGCATACAGACCTTACATAAGGCAATAGAGAAAAAAGAATGAAAAGGAATGAACAAAGCCTCCAAGAAATGTGGGACTTCATAAAAAGATTAAACCTACGATTGATTGGAGTACCAGAAGGAGACAGGAAGAATGGAAACAAGCTGGAAAACACACTGCAGGATATTATCCAGGAGAACTTCTGCAACCTAGCAAGACAGGCCAACATGCTAGGAATTCAGGAAATACAGAGAACACCATTAAGATGCTCCATGAGAAGATCAACCCCAAGACACATAATCATCAGATTCTCCAAGGTTGAAATGAAGAAAAAAACGTTAAGGGCAGCCAGACAGAAAGGCCAAGTCACCTACAAAGGGAAGCCCATCAGACTAACAGCAGACCTCCAGCAGAAACCCTACACGCCAGAAGAGACTGGGAGTCAATATTCAACATTCTTAAAGAAAGGAATTTTCAATCCAGAATTTCATATCCAGCCAAACTAAGCTTCATAAGTGAAGGAGAAATAAAATCCTTTCCAGACAAGAAAATGCTGAGGGATTTCATTACCACCAGGCCTGCCCTGTAAGAGCTCCTGAAAGAAGCACTAAATATGGAAAGGAAAAACTGGTACCAGCCACTGCAAAAACACACCAAAATATAAAGACCAATGACACTATGAAGAATCTGCATCAACTAGTGTGGAAAATAACCAAATAGTATCATGATGACAGGATCAAATTCATACATAACAATACTAACCTTAAATGTAAATGGGCTAAATGCCCCCAATTAACAGACACAGACTGGCAAATTGGATAAGGAGTCAAGACCCATCAGTGTGCTGTATTCAGGAGACCCATCTTACATGCAAAGACACATGTAGGCTCAAAATAAAGGGATGGAGGAATATTTACCAAGCAAATGGAAAGCAAAAAAAAAAAGCAGGGGTTGCAATCCTAATCTCTGACAAAACAGACTTTAAGCCAACAAAGATCAAAAATGGCAAAGAAGAGCATTACATAATGGTAAAGGGATCAATTCGACAAGAAGAGTTAACTATTCTGAATATATACGCACCCAATAAAGGAGTATCCAGATTCACAAAACAAGTTCTTAGAGACCTACAAGGAGACTTAGACTCCCACACAACAATAGTGGGAAACTTTAGCACCCCACTGTCAGTGTTAGACAGATCAACAAGACAGAAAGTTCTCAAGGATATTCAGGACTTGAACTCAGCTCTAGATCAAATGGAACTAGTAGACATCTACAGAACTCTCTACCCCCAATCAACAGAATATACATTCTTCTCAGTGCCACATGGCAACTATTATGAAATCAGCCACGTAATTGGAAGTAAAACACTCCTCAGCAAATGCAAAAGAACTGAAATCATAACAGTCTCTCCAGACCACAGTGCAATCAAATTAGAACTTGGGATTAAGAAACTCACTCAAAACCACACAATCTCATGGAAATTGAACAACCTGCTCCTGAATGACTCCTGGGTAAATAATGAAATTAAGGCAGAAATCAAGAAGTTCTTTGAAACTAATGAGAACAAAGAGACAACGTATCAGAATCTCTGAGACACAGCTAAAGCAGTGTTAAGAGGGACATTTATAGCACTAAATGCCCACATCAGAAAGTTAGAAAGATGTCAGATAGACACCCCAACAGTGCAATTATAAGAGCTATAGAGGCAAGAGCAAACTAATCCAAAAGCTAGCAGAAGACAAGAAATAACTAACATCGGAGAAGAATTTAAGGAGATAGATGAAAAATGGTCCGAAAAAAATCAACAAATCCAGGAGCTGTTTTTTGAAAAAAATTAACAAAATAGACTGCTAGCTAGACTAATAAAGAAAAAGAGAGAGAAGAATCAAAGACACAATAAAAAATGACCTCAAAGAAATACAAACTACGATCAGAGAATACTATAAACACCTCTATGCAAATAAACTAGAAAATCTAAAATAACTGGATAGATTCCTGGATGCATATACCCTACCAAGACTAAACCAGGGAGAAATTGAATCCCTGAATGGAACAATAACAGCTCTGAAATTGAGGCAGTAATTAATAGCCTATCAACCAAAAAAAGCCCAGGACCAGACGGATTCACAGCTGAATTCTACCAGAAATACAAACAGGCACTGGTACCATTCCTTCTGAAACTATTCCAAACAATTGAAAAGGAGGGACTCCTCCCTAACTCATTTTATTAAGCCAGCATCATTCTGATACCAAAACCAGGAAGAGACACAACAATAAAAGAAAACTTCAGGCCAATATTCCTGATGAACATTGATTGTTAAACACTCTCAATAAACTAGGTATTGAAGGAACATATCTCAAAATAATGAGCTATTTACGACAAACCCACAGCCAATATCATATTGAATGAGCAAAAGCTGGAAGCATTCCATCTGAAAACCAGCACAAGACGAGGAGGCCCTCTCTCATCACTCTTATTCAAATAGTATTAGAAGTTCTGTCCAGGGCAATCAGGCAAGAGAAAGAAATAAAGGGTATTCAAGTAGGAAGAGAGGAAGTCAAGTTATCTCTGTTTGCAGATTACATGATTTTATATTTATAAAACTTCATCACCTCAGCCCAAAAACTTATTGAACTGATAACCAACTTCAGCAAAGTCTCAGGATACAAAATCAATGTGCAAAAATCACAAGCCTTCCTTTGTACCAACAATAGACAAAGAGCCAAATCATGAGTGAACTCCCATTCACAATCACTACAAAGAAAATAAAATACCTAGGAATACAGCTAACAAGGGATGTGAAGGACCTCTTCAAGGAGAAGTACTTAAACCACTGCTCAAGGAAATGAGAGAACACAAAGAAATAGAAAAACATTCCATCCTCATGGATAGGAAGAATCAATACTGTGAAAATGGCCGTACTGCCAGCAATTTATGGATTCAATGCTATTCCCAAACTACCACTGACATTCTTCACAGAATTTGAAAAAACTATTTTAAATTTCATATGAAATCAAAGAAGACCCCATATAGCCAAGACAATCCTAAGCAAAAAGAAGAAAGCTGGTGGCATCATGCTACCTGACATCAAACTATACTACAAGGCTACAGTAACCAAAACAGCATGATACTGACACCAAAACAGACATATAGACCAATGGAGCAGAACAGAGACCTCAGAAATAACACCACACATCTACAACCATCTGGTCTTCAACAAACCTGACAAAAACAAGTAATGGAGAAAGGATCTCCTATTCAGTAAAATGGTGGTGGGAAAACTAGCCAGCCATATGCAGAAAACGGACAATGGACCCCTTCCTTACACCTTATACAAAAATTAACTCAAGATGGATTAAAGACTTAAATTTAAAATCCAAAACGATAAAAATCCTAGAAGAAAACCTAGGCAACACCATTCAGGACATAGGCAAGGGCAAAGACTTCATTGAAAAATGCCAAAAGCAGTGGCAATAAAAGCCAAAATTGGCAAATGGGATCTAATTAAACTAAAGAGCTTGTGCAGAGCAAAAGAAACTATCATCGAAATGAACAGGCAACCTACAGAATGGGAGAAAATTTTTGCAATCTACCCATCTGACAAAGATCTAACATCCAGAATTTACAAGGAACTTAAACTATTTACAGGAAAAAAAAAACATCGAAAAGTGGGCAAAAGATATGAACAGACATTTCTCAAAAGAAGACATTTACACAGCCAACAAACATGAAAAAAAGCTCAACATCACTGATCATCACAGAAATGCAAATCAAAACCACAATGAGATACCATCTCATGCCAGTCAGAATGGCAATTATTAAAAAGTCAAGAAACAAGAGATACTGCTGAGGCTGCAGAGAAACAGGAAGGCTTTTACACTGTTGGTGGGAATGTACATTAGTTCAAACATTGTGGAAGACAGTATGACAATTCCTCAAGGTTCCAGAACTAGAAATACCATTTGCCCCAGCAATCCCATTACTGGGTATATTCCCAAAGAATTATAAATCATTCTACTGCAAAGACACATGCGTATGTATGTTTATTGCAGCACTATTCACAATAGCAAAGAGATGGAACCAACACAAATGCCCATCAATGATAGACTGGATAAAGAAAATGTGGTACATATACACCATGGAATACTATGCAGCTATAAAAAGCAAAGAGATCATGTCCTTTTCAGGGACATGGATGAAGCTGGAAGCCATTATCCTCAGCAAACTAACACAGAAACAGAAAACCCAACACCACATGTTCTCACTCATAAGTGGGAGATGAACAATGAGAACACAATGACACAGAGAGGGGAACAACACACACCAGGGCCTGTTGCGAGTTAGGGAGTGGGGGGAGGAAACTTACAGGATGGGTTAATAGGTGCAGCAAACCACCACAGCACCCGCGCTCCTACGTAACGAACGGCCGCGGCACACGCGCACCTACGTAACGAACCGCCGCGGCACACGCGCACCTACGTAACGAACCGCCGCGGCACCCGCGCTCCTACGTAACGAACCGCCGCGGCACACGCGTTCCTATGTAACGAACCGCCGCGGCACACGCGTACCTGTGTAACAAACCTGCACATTCTGTACATGTATCCTGGGTTTTTTTTTTTAAGAAGAAATTAAGGGAAAAAAAAGAATATGCATTTGCATATCAAGTAATAAAAGCATTATTGTATTTTTTTTTAAAAAGGATCATTATTCTAAATTTCTATGTGACCAGGGAATCAAAACAAGATAAGCTTCACAACTGTCCCTAGGCCAATGTAGGCCCAGGCTTACCTCCCAGGGCAATGAATCCTTCTATCCGCCATACAGTGCCTCAGGTGACTCACCCACAGCGAGACTGTGACAGCTGGTCCAGACAGCCTGAGACGCTGCCAAGAGAACGGTCACTGCACGTGGAGGCCGTGGCCAGCAAGGTCTGCCCAGTGGTGGGTACAGCACGTGACTTCCACTGAGATCACAATCAGAAAGCTATTCCTCACTGAGAGAGAAGAATCCACTCCATTCCAGCAACACAGGACATCACAGGACATACGCACTGCTCAGGAAATCATCTGACCTGGCCCTGCAGAGCACGGGACCCAGGAAGATTGTGTTAGAGGACCAGAGCCCGTGTGGAGCACAGGGAGGGAAACAAAGCTTGTCAGTGTCACCAACAAAAACTCAACTTCTGACATTAATCCTGAGTAGTTACCCATGCCCAGACCGATGCAGAGATCCGACCCAACAAAACAACGTCGCAGCGTGAGCAGCCGAGAAGTGACGACACCACGGGGCGGAGGGGAACGGAGAGGAAAGCTGCTGACGCCAGGGAGAGATGCCGCTGGGCCAGGCACGGCTGCCCGCAGGAGAGGCCTCCGCAGGGAGAGGTACCGCTGGATCAGGCGAGGGTGCGCGCAGGAGAGGCCTCCGCAGGGAGAGGTACCGCTGGATCAGGCGAGGGTGCGCGCAGGGGAGGCCTCCGCAGGGAGAGGTACCGCTGGATCAGGCGAGGGTGCGCGCAGGGGAGGCCTCCGCAGGGAGAGGTACCGCTGGATCAGGCGAGGGTGCGCGCAGGGGAGGCCTCCGCAGGGAGAGGTACCGCTGGATCAGGCGAGGGTGCGCGCAGGGGAGGCCTCCGCAGGGAGAGGTACCGCTGGATCAGGCGAGGGTGCCCGCAGGAGAGGCCTCCGCAGGGAGAGGTACCGCTGGATCAGGCGAGGGTGCGCGCAGGAGAGGCCTCCGCAGGGAGAGGTACCGCTGGATCAGGCGAGGGTGCGCGCAGGGGAGGCCTCCGCAGGGAGCGGTGCCGCTGGGCCAGGCACGGGTGCCCGCAGGAGAGGCCTCCGCAGGGAGAGGTGCCGCTGGGCCAGGCACGGGTGCCCGCAGGAGAGGCCTCCGCAGATCTCTGATGATGTGCTAACTAAATTAGATAAATCCCCGTCATGTCTCATTCATGTCTCAGGCCTCAGCTGGGTCTCACGTCTCATTTGGAGCATCACTGACGCCTCTCTTAAGTTCTCTATTAAGGAGCCATTTCAAGTATTTACAGGGAAGCCTCTGGACTGGGTGATATCATGTGACCAATGGCACACAATTCAGTGCCCAGAATGAACAGGACACAGGTGAGCACTTATGCCCTCTGGAAAGGTGGAATATACCACACGAGGCTATGAGTTTGCATGGCAGGGGACTCAGATATCCTGGAATGAATAAATTCAACCAGACTGGATATTGGGTGGGAGAATTTATATTTTCTCTGTGACACTTCACGGTTTATTTCTGGGAACAAAGTGACAGGGCATATGTTTCCAATAAAAAGAGAGATGGACTGGACACAGTGGCTCACACCTGTAATCCCAGCATTTTGGGAGGCTGAGGCGGGTGGATCACAAGGTCAGGAGTTCGAGACCAGCCTGGCCAACATGGTGAAACCCTGTCTCTACTAAAAAAAAAAAAAAAAGTGTGTGTGTGTGTGTTCAGCCACAAGTGGTGGCGTGCGCCTATAATCCCAGCTACTTGGGAGGCTGAGGCAGGAGAACTGCTTGAACCCAGGAGGTGGAGGTTGCAGTGAGCCAAAATCGTGCCACTGCACTCCAGCCTGGGCAACAAAGCAAGACTCCATCTCAAAAAAAAAAAAAAAAAAAAAGAGAGATGAAATGGTAAGGAGAGGATGAGAAAATAAATGTTCTTTTGCATTTATTTCTATTGGTGCATTCAAGTTTTCTCATTGTAATTTTGTTTCCAAAACAGAACAATCTGAGAAATAAGAATCTCTATTTACAGAGATAGAGATACAACCAGTCAAATTATCGGGGCAAACGTCCTACATAAAACTGAGGAATAAATGAGATTCACAGCCAAGCTAACTCCATGTAGATGTATGACTACTCTGAGAGAGTTTTATAGCTCAAATGAAGATCGCCTATTAATTTTCTGAAAAGTAAAAATCCCTATCCTAGGTCGCTTAACTTTCCTGAATTGTTTTAAGAAGAAAGATTCTACTTTGCAATAAGTAAGATTAAGTGTATTGCTCTAAGTCATTTTTATGTAATCTTCGCAAATTCTTGTGAATATCACCTGAGCTTTGCAAAATGAAGGTAGACCTTACTCACTTATATATAAGCCACTTACTGAGCACCTATCAAGCATGAGCTGTTGTGCAAGTCCTGGAGATAGAAAGTTGGCTGTGCAATTAGATATTAAGTGATACGACTAGTTATAAATTAACAGAGTGGAGATCAGGGCATTATGTTTATGCATGGAGGAGGCACCCACCCTAATTTAGGAGGGAGGAACTTCTTAGCAAAAATTACATCTGCGTTGAGTCCATGAACGAGCAGGAGTTACAGTGGCAAGTGGGGGATGGGGACATTCTCAGGAGAGAAAGGACCCACATACAAAGTCTCCCCAGCACAGATACCATGTCGCAGTCAAGGGCTGGAGAGGGGACACACACTGGACGGTCACCCCGACCCACCTATAAAGTCTCCCCAGCACGGATGCCATGTCGCAGGCAAGGGCTGGAGAGGGGACACACACTGGACGGTCACCCCGACCCACCTATAAAGTCTCCCCAGCACGGATGCCATGTCGCAGGCAAGGGCTGGAGAGGGGACACACACTGGACGGTCACCCCGACCCACCTACAAAGTCTCCCCAGCACGGATGCCATGTCGCAGGCAAGGGCTGGAGAGGGGACACACACTGGACGGTCACCCCGCACAGGAGCCAGATAGCAGAACCCTCTGTGTGTGAGTGTGGACACTTTCCTGGGGAATGATTTATGGTGTCTCATGTGAGACAGAAGCACATCTACATTCTAGAAGACGCATGGCCTCGGTGGCAGGATGCACAAAGTGTGTGCATGAGGAGAATATTAGAAGCACAGAAATTGATTAGGAGGATGTGGTCAAAAAGAGGGACGGAGGAACAAACCTAAGAGAAGGAGATGCAAGTGCAGTGGAGGGAGAAGGGGCGGGGCCAAGAACACAGGTGAACACAAACACCACGGATGCAAAGAAAACTTCCCCTCACCCCTCTCAAAGGAAAGACCAGTTCTGATGAATTTGGAAGCAGCAGGACAAGAAGGCCAGGACAGAATTTCCTGAAGACCTCTACATTTCTTACACAAAACAAGGGCACCCACTGGTTGCTGAGATCAAATGAGTAAAGAAGGAGGCTGCAGACTCGAGGGATATGGTTAAGATATAAAATTCCATTAGGGAGGAGAGACACGGAAGGAGAATGGAGAAGTGCTTGACAATGACATGGAGAAGACAGTCCAGGTAACAATGAGAGCTCACATAAAGTGGAGGCTGTTGTTGCTATGGTTTTATTTTTAGCAGCATCCACTGCCCAGATACATGGTTCTCCCTAGGAGCAATCAACTCTTTGGGGTATAGAGTGATAAAGGTCAATGATGAAAAAATTCAACAATGGAATTTTGCCAAGTGACAAAATGATAGATTAGGGAGGGAAGTGAGTCAGAAGGGAGGTTGTAGCACAAGTAACTAAAGAACGGATTTGTGTGTTCTTGGCTCCTAGGAAACTAATGAAGACAACGGGGAGATGGAGGAAGGAACCAGAGATGTTCAAAGACTAGATCGTGGGTCAGATGGTAATGACTCTAACCTAAGGCAGGGATGATGGCAGAAAGATGCCTTCACAGGACAAACTGAGCCTAGCGCTCAACACCCCCACCTGGGGAAAGTGACACCTGCATGGGAACTTATCCATGGGTACCACCAGACCCAAAGGACCTCTATCTTCAAGTAAACCCTACGCTCCCCAAGCAGACAGTGTCATTTCGGTGAATGTCCTAACAGCAAAACAAATTTCTTCTCCGGGGAATGGTCTTCACAAATTATTGCCCAGAGAGTGAATAATTCTTCTCTAGTCAGTGGCTAACAGGGAAATTATCTATGTGCCTCTGGACTTGTTCTTGTATCACAGTGAATAAACTGGTCCAACCCAAACTGACACATCCACAAACTCCCTTTGTGATCCTAGGTAAGATTTTAGATGGCATTTGTCAATGTAAAAAATAAAAATAAAGAACATAATGTAATCAAGTTGCTTTCACACACAACCTAGTTGGTTTTGGCCAATTAGGATATTGGTAGGCTCCTTCATTGAGCCCAGACCAGAGTACCATCAGTCCCAGGACTCTAAAAGCCATCTGTCTTAGTCCCTTTTGTGTTGCTATAACACAGTATCTGAGGCAGGGTAATCTGCAAAGAGAAGAGGTATTTAATTCATGATTCTAGTGTCTGCGAAGTCCAAGAGCATGGTGCCCATGGCTTCTGGTGGGAGCCTTGTGCTGTCTCACAACATGGTAGAGAAGTAGGAGGGGAAGTGGGCCTTGTGAAAGAGAAGCCAAACAGGAGAGGTGGCCTCACTTTATAAAATCCACCTTCTTGGAAAGCAACCCATTCCCAGGAGAACTCACTCCTGAGAGATGGCATTTAATCTCTCCATGAGGGTCCCTCGTGGACCAAACACCTCCCACCACTCAACACCATTACACTGGGGACCAAGCCTCAGTGAGTTTTGGTGAGGACCAACCATACCAAACCATAGCACCACTGGAACAACAAGATTGAGAATGGCTATCACAACATGGAAATCCTAACCCATTTTCCTAGAAATATACTCTCTCATTCATCCCAATAGCTCTGCAGTCCCCACAACCTCTACTTATCGTCCTCTGACCCACAACCCCACCACCACCTTCACAAGGAAGAGCAAAGCATTCATCAAGAATTTTCTGAACTTTGAACCACAAAACCTACCGTGTGTTCCTCTCTGATTTCCGTTACATTCAGAGGGTCCCATGGATCTCAAACTAAACACTCTAGCTCTGTTCTATATCCCGTATTCTCCTAAAAGAATTTGTTTCTATTAATTATTCCATCTCTGTCTATAAATTCAACTTTCCTCCCACCACTGACTTTTTCCCATGAGTACTTAAATATATTCAAGTCTCTCCCATTGTTAAAAAATGGGAGAGTGACTTCCAGCATGACAGTATGAGGACTCCCAGTACTCTCAAGGAAAACTGTTGAAAATTATAGACAACAACAAAACATCTACAGTCTCTGAAAATGGTCCATTGGCAAACAGCAAATGAAGAAATATCTTTCAAGAGAAGCTACGAAAATTCAGGGAGACAAGTACCTGTGGGATTTGAACCAAGTCTGCTCTCTCCTATCCCTCCCAGCTCAGAAAGTCAAGAGACTCCACTTGGGATGTCTTCATTTTTCTGCTGGAGAAGCAGGACAAAAGCAGATGGTTATGGGCCATCGCTAGCATTCAGAGCCGTGGAACACAATCTCTTTCCAAAGGAGCCAAACCTCATTTGCACAGAATATGAAGAAGCTTAAACCTAAGGGAGCTCTCGGGAGCATTGGAATTTGTGGTGAAATGCAACTGGGAAGAGATTCAAGACACAGGTGAACCTGTAGGTTACTGGCTTGCAGGGAAGAACTAGGGAATAAGACAGCTGGGAGGATCCTTCTTGTGTCAAAGCAAGTATCAAACAGGAACCTCAAACTATTCCTTCAAAGAAGCCACAATTTGATTAGATTTATTTGTGAAGCAATGTATGCCCACAATTGCAATCAGCAGCAATTAGTGGCGTTTAATAGCTGCCTGGGTCAGGGACAGAGAGGAAGAAAGCCTGCCCATACCACTGTCAACCAGGTAAGGGGGTCACACCCAAAGCTGCAACCCCTGCCCCCAACAAGGAGCCACATCAGAGGCTAAACACCATGGGGGACAGGGCAGAGAGTCTAGACTCCTCTAAACAAACCCAGCCAATCACTGAACGAAGAAACAACAAAAACAAGCCCAGGTGTGGGGGAAGGACCACTATCACTGGCAAGAACTGTGACATTATATATCAAAATGTCCAGTTTCTGACAAAAAATCATGAGACATGCAAAGAGATAGGAAAGTATGATCCATACAATGAAAAAACAATAAGAGGCAGGCAACACAAACTACCTGTGGAAGTGACCAGAGGCCAGGTTTATTAGAAAAAGATTTCAAAGGAGTCATAAAGATGTTCCCAGAACCAAAGGAGACTATGACTGAAGAGGTAAAGATGGTAGAAGAATGTTGCAAAAAATAAAAAAAAAAAAAACCTGGTAAAAATATAGAAATAACCATATGGAAATTCCGCTGTTGGAAAAGTAAAATAACTGAAATAAAAACTCATTCGTGGGGTTTAACTGTAGATTCCAACATCAGGAAAAGGAATAAGCAAACTGCAAAACAGATCCATAGATGTTCTGCAAGCTAAAGCAGAGACAGGAAAGAAGACAGAGACAACTGAAGGAGCTCAGAAGCATAGGGCACCTAGAGCACACAAACACAAGCACAATGAGAACATCAGAAGGAGGTAAGAGAAAGCAGCAAAAAAGATATGCAAAAAATAATAGCTGAAAACCTCCCAAACATACTGAAAAACAATAATGTACACATCCAGGAAGCTCCACAAACTCCAACAAGGATAAAAGCAAAGAGAGTTACAAACAGATAAGTCACAGTACAAATACTGAAAGTCAAAGAAAAGGTGAAAATCTTAAAAGCTACAAGAGAAAAATGACTTGTTACTTACAAAGGAAATCCAATCTGATTAATAGTTGACTTCTCAGCAGAAACAGTAGAGGCCAGAAAAGCAGTGGTATAACATACTGAAAGTATTCAAAAGAAAAACAAAACTGTCTATCACGAATGCTGTATCCAGAAAACCTATTCTTCAAAAATGAAGACAAAATAAAGACATTTCCAGAAAAATAAAAACTCAGAGAATTTATTGCTAGCAGATCAACCTTACAAGTAATTCTAAAGAAAGTTCTTGAGGCTGAAAGCAAGTGACCCCTGATAATATTAAAATCCACATGAAAAATTAAGATAACTGGTAATGGTAATTACATAATTATAAAAGACTGTATTAACATATTTTCTGTCCTCCTAACTGATTTAAAATAAAATTGTATAAAATAATACATATGAAAAAGCTTGGTGGACCTATCAAACATAAAAATATATGTGTAACATATTTGTCAATAACAGCACGAAGAGGGTTAGTGGAAGCAAAGCTATGTTATACTAAGAACATAATTACAGGTGGTAAAGTCATAATTATAACAATGTGCTGTTGCGTTTGCAACATTAAGAGATGTAATAAGTATAATAATACCACAGAAGAGGGGAAACATAGTATAGCTACATAGAAGTAATGCTTCTATTTATTACTAGAATTATGCCAGCATAAGTCTGAAACTGATTTTAATAAGCTAAAACATATATGGGAAACTCTAGAGCAAACACGAAATAAATGACTCAAAAATATAGTGAAAAAATCCTTAAGTAACTTAAAATGCTACAGTGGAAAATATTCACTTAATGCAAAAAAATGAGTAAGGAGGGATGAAGAAATAAAAAAGGTATGAGACTATATTAGTTCATTCTCACACTGCTATAAGGACATACTCACGACTGGGTAATTTATAAAGAAAAGAGGTTTAATTGACTCACAGTTCAGCAGGGCTAGGGAGGCCCAAGGAAACTTACAATCATGGTGGAAGGGGAAGCAAACACATCCTTCTTCACATGGCAGCAGAAAGGAGAAGAATGAGAGCCGAGGGAAAGGGGAAGCCCCTTATGAAATCACCAGATCTCATGAGAACTTACTATCACGAGAATAGCATGGAGGAAACTGCCGCCATGATTCAATTACCTCTCACCGGGTCCCTCTCATGACACGTGGGGATTATGGGAACCACAATTCAAGATGAGATTTGGGTGGGGACACAGTCAAACCATATCAGAGACATATGAGGGGAAAAAAGTAAAACAGTAGATGTAAATCCAACTATATCAATGATAATATTAAATGTGAATGGATTAAATAATATAATCAAAAGAAGCATGTTGTCAGACTTAATTTTTAAAAAAGATCCAACTCTACCCTGCCTAGTGGAGATACACTTTAAAGATTAAAAGATACAAATAGATTGAAAGTAAAAGGATAGAAAAATATATTATGCTAACAGCAATCACAAGAAAGCTAGAATAGCTACATTGATATCAGACAAAATTGACTTTAAAACAAAAACTGTTACTACAGATAAAGAGGAACTAACTATAAAAGAGACAACCCATCAGGAGCAATAACAATTATAAATATATATGTACATGTGTGTATGCATATGTAGACATACATATATACACACACATGCACCTTAACAACAGAGCACCAAAACATGTGAAGCAAAAACTGACAAAAATGAAGACACAAGTTCAACAATAGCCGAAGACTTTAATACCACACTCTTAATGATGGATAGATCAACTAGACAAAAGATCAACAAGGAAAGAGAAGGCTTGAACAACACTGTAAACCCATTAGACCTAGCAATCACCAATACAACATTCCATCCAACAACAGCAGCAGAATATACGATCTTCTCAAATGCACATAAAACATTCCCAGAATATACCATATGTTAAGCCATAAAACAAACCTATTATTAAAAATAAATTTAAAATGATACAAATAACACAAATTGTTTTCTCTAATCACAATGGAATCAAATTAGAAATCAACAACAGAAAAAAGTTTTGGAAATTCACCAGTTTGTGTAAATTAAACAATGTACTCCCAAATAACCAATGGGACAAAGAACAAATCCCAAAGGAAATTAGAAAATACTTTGAGGTTACTGAAAATGAAGACTCAACACATCAAACCTTATGAGATGCAGCCAAAGCAGGGTTCAAGGGAAATTTATAGCTGTAAATGCTTCTATGAAGGAAAAAGAAAGACCTCAAATGAAGAAGCTAAACTTCCACTTTAAGATACTGGAAAAAGAAGAACAAACTAAATGTAAAGCAGGCAGAAAAAAGAAAAAATAATAATATTAAAACAGAAACTAATAGAGAACAGAAAAAAAGAGAAAGTAAATGAAATGGAAAGGTGGCTTTTTGAAAATATCAACAAAATTGACAAACTTTTAGCTAGATTGACAAAGAAAAAAAAGAGAAGTCTCAGTTTAATAGAATCAGATGAAAGAGGGGTATCATCACAGACCTTACATAAATAACAAGGATTGTACAGGAACACTATGAATAATTTTACACTAACAAAGTAGATGCCCTAAGATGAAATGGACACATTTCTAGAAAGACACAAACTACCAAAACTGACTCAAGAGAAAACAATCTAAACAGACGTCTCGAGAGTGAAGACTGCAAATCAAAAAACTGTCCTCCCAAAGAAAAGCTCAGGCCCAGACGACATCTCTACTGAATTCTGCCAAATCAAAACAAACCTTAACTAAGCCACAAAACAAACTTTCTTTATATCTATTTAAAGAACAATTAATAACAATGCTTCATAAATTCTTCCAAGAAATGGAAAAAAAGCAGGTACTTCCTAATTCATTTTATCAGGCCAATATTACTCTAATATCAAAGCCAGGCAAATACATCATAAGAAAAAAAGGCTAAAGATGAATATCTCATAAATATAGATTAAAAAATCCTCAACAAAATATTAGTAAAATGAATGCAGCAATTATATATAGAGAATTATAAAGTATTAATTAAAAACAAGCAATAAGTTAGAAATAGAAGGAAAGTTCCTTGACTTAATAAAAGGCATCTATGAAAACCACATAACTAACGTCATACTTAGTGGTGGAAGACTAAATTCTGTTTCTCTAAGATCAGGAACAAGACAAGGATGTTGGTTCTCACTCCTTCATTTCAAAATTGTGCTGGTGGTCCTAGCCAGGGTAATGAAGAGAAGTAAAAGGCATTCAGATTTAAAGTAAGAAATCATAAAACTACCTCTATTTCCTGATGGCATGATATCATATACAAAAAAATCTAAAACATTCACTAAAAATTATTAGAATTAATAAATGAGTTTGGCAAGGTTGAAGGACATGAGGTCAATATAGAGAATCAGTTTTAATACTATTCATGCAAAGCATTTACACTATATTAAGTTTTATAAATAATCTAGAGATGATTTAAAGTATGTGGGAGCATGTGTGGTCAATATAAAGAATCAGTTGTAATACTACACATGCATACATGCACATAGTACTTACACTGTATTAAGCTTTATATGTACTCTACAGATGATTTAAAGTATGCAGGAGGATGTGTGTAGGTTATAGGCAAAAATAGCCTTTTGCCATCAGGGACTTGAGCATCCGTGGATCTGCGTATCTGTGGGGGTCCTGGCACCTGCCCCACCCTGGATATTGAGGACTGACTGTGCTGATACAGGAGGCAGGGGTGGAGGACAGAGAGGGTGCCTAAATAGTGCAGGGCTTCAATTTTGGGTGAGGAGAGTGTTCTGAAATTGACTGTGGTGATAGTTGCATGTACCTCTTTGAATATAATAAAAGCCAGCGGATTGTACACTTTGAATGGGTGAGTAGTATGGGGTATATGAATTATATCTCAATAAAACTGCTTTTAAGAAGTGAGAGAAGGCCGGGCGCAGTGGCTCACGCCTGTAATCCCAGCACTTTGGGAGGCCAAGGTGGGTGGATCACCTGAGGTCAGTTTGAGACCAGCCTGGCCAACATGGAGAAACCCCATCTCTACTAAAATACAAAATTAGCCGGGCGTGGTGGCACATGCCTGTAATCCCAGCTACTGAGGAGGCTGAGGCAGGACAGTTGCTTGAACCCGGGAGGCAGAGGTTGCTGTGAGCCGAGATCGCGCCGTTGTACTCCAGCCTGGGCAGCAAGAGTGAAACTCTGTCTCAAAAAAAAAAAAAAAAAGAAAAGAAGTGAGAGAAAACTTTCCTCTGTTGAAAGGAACTTTAGCTGTCATTAAATATAAGTGCAGCATCTTTTCATCTGTCCTAATAGTTCTGGCTTTGAAGTTGAATAATAAAAAAATATAATTTAATTACATTATTAAAAATGAACCTTAGAATAAATTCCTTCTAAATTTCTGGAGAAAAATGAGAAGAAAGCTCACTAAATACACACATAGCATAAAGAAAACCACATAATTTTCTTAAGTTTCTAAGCAATGAAAACAATGATATAAACCTAAACAAGAACAGCACAAAAATATCTGTTATAATCATATCACAAAATCTGTTATATGTGTGGAAATAGCTAACGCAAAAACTGTAGAGTATGTAAGAAGAAATTCAACAAGAACAGCCCAAATAACACCAAGTAGACAAAAAATGCATGAAGGGATGAAGACCTTGAAAGAAATATTAATAAGAATTACTTAATATACATGCCAACAAGTAGGTGGGCCCACCTTTCTCTGTGAGACGCCACATCCTTAACAGAGGGTCAGTTTCTCCCATTGATCTGTAAATCCAGCTCAGGCTGAGTGTCCCTTACCCAAAATGCGTGGGACCAGAAGTACTTCAAATTGGTTTTTTTTTTCATATTTTGGAAGATATGGACTATACTTATCTGGTTGAATGTCTCAAATCCAAATATCCAAATCCGAAATGCTCCAATGAGCAGTTCCATTGAGCATCATGTCAGCTCTCTAAAGGTTTTGGAAGCTGGAACACTTTGGATTTCAAATTTTAAGATTTAGGATGCTAAACCTGGATAATCCCAATCAAAATTTCACACATAATTCTTTAGAAACTTGAAAACTGATTTTAAAGTTTATCTGGATGAAGAAACATGTAGGAAAATGAGCAACGGTGGACTCAGAAGCAGGATCACCCTGTCAGATTTGACAAAACTCGTTCTTAGAACAGCAAAATACAAAAGTAACCCAAAGTGCAAATGGAAATGTAGCAGGTGATAAAGGTTCCATCCAAAACTCAACTAACAGTTTGGACAGAAGATAGTGCAGCCAATTAATTCAGGTGTGGACACTGGATGGCCATCTGAAGAAATGCACGGGGGACCCTGGACCGGGCCTGCAACCGGCCTTCTCTGTGGGAAGGGGTGCAGGCTGGGCAGGGCACGGCACCCAACGGTGGCATAAATCCTCACAGGCAGACACCTGCACACTGGTGCCCAGAGGTGGTCAGGCTCTGACTGATGTCAAACAGTGCGCACTGCCACAGAACATCTCAGGGAAGGTTAAGGGGACCACTGAGTCCCTTTTATTTATTCTGAAGAACCAGGGGAAGGAAAATGTTGAGCTCAGGTGCCAGATACGTCTACCACAGTTACGCATTTTGGAATTAGGGGAATGACCACAGGATGGTCACAGAGACCTGCTGAGCCCCCAAGACGTGATTCTCAGATTCCCGAGTTCTGTCCTTATCAGCGGTGAGGGAAAGAGAGCCAAGACTCCAGGCCCGGCCCGGCAGCCCTCCACTCCCTCATTCATGGATGTCACCAGGGCACGAAGACATGCGGAGACCCACAGCCCACTCCAGGGGCTCAGGGAATGTGCTGGGGTGCTGAGGAGGTTTCTGGAAATCTCTCACCAAGAAGCGGCAGATCCAAAAGCTGGATAATAGTCTGGATTAGGGCCATGGCCACAGGAAGGAAAACCAAAAGAATGAGGCTGTGTTGTGCCTGAGGAGTCCAGGAACCAGAGCAGGAAGTGAGAGGAAACAGAGCAGGAAGTGAGAGGAGACAGAGCAGGAAGTGAGAGGAGACAGACGGCAAAGGGGTGAGAAAGTGCAGGAAATTTGAATTCTCCAGGTTTTCAAGCCGGGGTGCCAAGGAGACAGACCCACTAACATAAGCAGTGAGTCTTCAAGGGCAGCTGCGTGTTTAGGGTCCTGGGAGGGAACAGGAATGCCGGTTTTAAGAGCTGTCAGTACCTCTCAGTGAAGATGTCCAGTACTGGAAGAGAGGTCAGCATGGAAGACAGAGGTTTATAAGCATCATCTGCATGATTGTAATAACCGCACTTGTTAAGTGATGACAGCTCAGGGATCCTGTCAGGAGAAATATCGGCGAGAAAACTTTGGAAAATATCCACATTTTGGAGGAAAGAAATAGCCATAGAATAAAATCAAGATAATGGACTATTACAGAAGCCAGAGAGAAAATCTTAAGAAAGCAATAGTTTTGTAGCTACAAAATGGTTAAATGTACAATAAGAAATGAAAAGACGACCCAGAATTTGACTTTAAGTCTCAAATCATTTTTTTTTTTTTTGTAAATTAGGCACGGTATCTTTCTCAGCCAGTTTCTAAATGGCCCTGCTCTCCTGAAGAAACCACCAATAACCTCATTCTGTACTCCCTGATTAGTCCTCTTTCCAGAGCAGAGTCCCGCTGCTCAGAATGTGTCCTTTCCTGAGCAGAGTCCTGCTGTTCAGAACGTGTCCCGCTGCCGGGGTGCCCATCAGGCCCGCCCACTCGTCACCATAAACCACCACATCCAGCTTCTGTGACCCAGATTTGGGGAAACAGGCTTGCCAAAATATCACGGGTTCTCTCCCAAGCACTTCCTGATCCCCGAATGTTCCAACTACGGTTCAAAACATGCGCATATTCATTAAGACTAAGGAGTCTTTTATTTTTCTTATGTTGATTAAATTCACCTTTATCCAGCTGCCAGCCTTGGAAAAGACAGGGAGGTCTTGGAGTTATTAAAAAGCCCATGTTTGAGAGCTTTTAAAGTGATTAATTGTGACATGCTATCACTTTCCACGGAGTAAAATAAAGAGACGTCTATTTTAATTACTGTATATTTGAGCCCTCAGCGTACAAACGTAAACCAAATTTTCTTTTGCTGAAAGAGAAAACACGCAGCATTCTTTCAGCTAGAGAAACAAAACTGCAAATAAATCTCGGATTCAGGATCTGACAGGGAGGGCGTGACTCTTGTAACGGAAACAAGTACCTTCAACTCACTTCATCAAATGTGGTGCAAGAAGGACGCGAAAACAGCTTAACAGTAACAGAAGATCCACACTGTGACTTCCAGCCACCGAGGAACCGTTTAGGGGTGGCTGGTTGGTAACCACAGGGAAAACAAATGAACTGACTCAAAATTACACTAAGCTGTATATGTAAATAAAGGGGAAGAAGAGAGGCGTGAAGCAGGGTCTCGAGGAGGAGAGGAAGGAAGGGAGGGCCCAGGGCAGCCGGCCCAGAAACTTGCTTTCTGACTTGGTACTCAGGACGCCTGTGGAGAAACCCGGCAGCCTTTTCTGTGGATCAAAGTTAGACCAAACGGTAATCAAAGCTTTTCTGAGACAGCAATTTCAGTTTTTAAATTGTCACATATTCACTTCATTGTGGAGAACGCAAAACACCAGGAGACACAATGACTGGAACCTGCGCGGCCCCCACTTCACCCTCACTCTGGGCTGCCTGACGCGTCCAGCCTGCAGTGACCGCGCTCTCTAGGCCCGGAGGTGCGGTGGCCTCAGATGAACACGTGATCCACCTGAAGAGGGAACACTGTTTGTGCAAGAGGACTCCAAGGTGACAGACAGGGCTGCAGACGCCTCAGACACACCAAAGCCCACACCAGCACCTTCTTCAAGGTGCCGCGCACCCTTGGAAGAGCACATGAATGCTCCAGCGAGGCAGACACTAACGTAACCTGCAGCTCTTCTTTAGATCATCTCAGAGATGATGGACACTTTTTCTGGATTAGTGACACATCACCGTCTCCGGTCACTTGAGACTGACTCTGAGCAGTGTGGCTGTGGGGCTGTGAAACAGTGCACGGCTCACCGTGCGCCAACCAGGGACCTTCTCACAGCGAGATGTTTCTGTGAGTGTCGTGTAAGATGACAAAGATGGCTCATTTTTCTGTAGATAAACCTCTTCTGGAGGAACAGGTGCTAGGTGACCTTGTAAGTACATGCATCCACATGTGGATACAAGAACAGGATCAACAGCAACACTAACAACGAGACACACCTCCACAGCTGCTGACATACAAGAGCCACAGCTATTCCAGAACATGTGACCCCACAGGACAGACAAAAATAAGTGCTCAGAATAAAAAACAATCTTCTTCCTCTCATAAACCCTTTACTCACTGTATCCATAGGGTTAATTACACTCCTTAAATATAAATAATAAAGAAAAAATGCAACATCATTTTTAATTAGCTTAAAGTATATAACCATTTTGAAAACTGACACCTACAAATAATTTGTAAGTATCATACATTTTAAGCAATGGATGCATGATGGATGAAGCCATTGCTGAATTTTTTAATAATACAAAAATATTAAACTATCACCTCAGATGTTAACAAATCTTTTCATAATGAGTATAAAATTGGCACAACTGCCAACAGAAAGTTGAGCAAATATGTTTGTCATAAATGCGTTACGTGGAAAACTAAACACACCGCTTAAATAATGCTCAGCTCACATCTCATAATTTTGAGGTTTATTCAAAACAGAATCATTCAAAGCTTCACTTCCCCTATAAGAAACCAATATGAACAGGAATTACGCACTGAGAAACCTGCATCCACTACCACAGCAGAAAGCACAGGTGGCCAGGTGACAGCAATGTCTCACATTAAATCATGAGGCTACACCCGAGCCAGTGTCAGTGACTTATTCATCATCAGTAATCCCAGATCCACAGCCTTCTCAGATGTGTGCATGTCCCTAGAGCGTGCTACCACCAGGTCCAGCCTGAATGCAGCATAGAGAAAGCCACGTAATGACATAATCACAACACTGTTCCCCTTTTGTTCTCAACTAGTTTGGGTATCGAAAGAAGGTAACATCTCAAGGATTAGCGCCTGTTAGAACCCTCTGAAGGACCTTCTGTCTCCTCCTCCAACCAGGCTTCCTGCTGACTCCAGCAAATTAGGATAATCACAGCTTAAAGGGTTTATTTTTGCTAATTAAAACAAGGAGGGCACGAAGTTGGAATAATTATACATACTTGAGTTCAACATATTCCAACATAAAGCTGCAAAAAGCAAAGAGCTGGTTGCATCCAGGAAAGACCCAAAGAAAACTCAGCATTTTTCTTGCATAAAGCAAATAGATCCCCGATCAACAAAGATAACATTAATTTACGAACTCCGTGTCTGAACTGAGAAGTCTGTGGTCACTTTGCCCACGGTGACGGCCGGTAGGCGGCACACGAATCAGTGGTACCGGGTTAGACAGCTGACAGGTGAACAGCACAGAACGGCGGAAACCTGGATGTCTGACTCATGGGGAAGGACAGAGGCCCTCGATTTGGAGAGAGAACAAACCCCAGCACAAGGCAGTGAGCCTGTAAGGGATGAAGACACCATCTCCAGACCCTGGGAACGTGGCTTCCCTGGGAACGTGGCATGTTGGGGCGACAGGAGAACACCGGCTCTGAGCAGCTTCTCCCAACAAGTCACAGGGAGCGGGAAAGGCCCAGGGGACCTGGAATGAATGGCAAATCCCAGTCTGAGTCATAGAAAGGGAGAAACGGTCGATTCTAGAAAGGAATATTTATTATTTTGATGCTCACAGCACACAGCGTCTGGGAAAGTATTTAGAAGGCCCTGGCGTGGTGGCCAGAAGCTGCACAGCTCCCAGGAGCCGTCACAGGTGGCAGCAAGCGCTTCCCGATGGCCACATGGACCAAGGCCAACTCTCCAGCCCCACAGAGACACGACCCCCAGCACTCTGGTCCTTCAGACCCTTCTTTTCAGAATCAACTGACAGGCCAGGCCCTCGAGAAGTGAGTTTACCAGAAGGTGGGGACTGATCAGCTACCCTATGCAGACGGGAACTGAAATGAAAGCACTGGAAGACAGGCCTGAGGAGATGCTGCCCTGGACCCAGAGACATGGTTCCCAGGCCCTGGGCTCTCCTGGTCTGGTCACCTGCGCCCGCCTGGCACTGACTTCCAACACAGAGCACATGCCCCACGCACGTTTCCTGGACAAGACACTGGAAGGGGGAATCAGGGCCCCTTGTAGAAGAGAGTCCATGAGAGATACCGGCACGGCCCCGGAAGATCTGGACAGGCCTGGGGTAAGAAGCCTGGCCAGGCGCGGGGTGTCAGGGTGCTGAGGGTATGTGAGAGGCACCGAGGGCCCCGGCCAACCGTGCTGCAGGACACACAGAGCAGAGGACTCTGCCCGCCACTGTGCCTGAGATAAACCAATAAGCACCATGGCTCCGAAACACCATCCTGTCCCAAGAACACAGTTTCTTCCCCATAAAAAATTTAAAAAGAGACCCATAAAAGTAACTGGATTAGAATACCATACCCAACTAAGCACTCCCCTTGCCCTGTTTTGAATGTAGGCTGAACAGGGAGGGCCAGAAAAAGATGTTCTTATTTCAAGTGAATGCATTCAGCAGCTGTTCCCTACTGCCCTGCTGTGAGCCGCAGACCACACCTCTCTCTGAGGGGGCAAGCTCAGGACCCTGTAGCTGGGCAGACCCATCCAATGAGCTGGAATGTACACGAAGGTCCATCCCTGCCAGGAGAGAAAAGGGCTCCATGGCAGACATCCACGCAGCTCACAGCGGCCTTATAAAAAGAAGAGCACGTTGTGAGGGCGAGTGGCCATTCCCACAACCTTAAAACCGGATTTAGCTATAAACCTTATCTTTCCTAACAGTAAATGCCACGGAAGTGCATATGCTGGAGAGAGGTGAGCAATTTGGAAGGAAAAGGATGAGAAGGCAGATGAAGAATTATAGATTTTGGAAGTCACACAATGGCTCACAAAGTAAACTCAGCCCCGGGGAACATCACAGAATCTGATCAACACTGAGAACAGCACGAGGCTTGAAAGGAGGCTGCAAGTAGACCTGACGCCGCAAATCAAGACACATCCCAGAAAGTCTAACTCTAGAGCACAATCTTAAAACCCATCTTCTCCGCCAGAAGCTAATATAAAAGCATGAGCCTGTGGCATGAGCTCAGCGTTTAGTAGCAATAACTCTCCTCTCTGTCATTTGGTATTAACTGGAATTTAACAGAAACAGCTAGAAGATCCCTTAAAGGAAATTTCCATACATCAATCTTGCTGGAGCCAAGATGTTGCAGACAGCGTGTCCAGCGAGGGCACCCGTCGTCCTGGTGGGCCAGGTGAGCCTGTGGAGATCTGGAAGGGGCCCCCTTGTTCCCTGGGGGTCCTACAGGGACAGCGGCCATGAGACCGCATAGCTGAGATTGAAAACAATATCATTTCCAAATCTGAGAATGGAAACAAGGTTACTCCATCTAGAAAAGATTCAGATGTTCAACAAGTTTATATCTGAGATTCCTAAATCCACTTCCCAGTTTTCCTATATCTAAGAATACATTTAACTTGAAATATTAAAGAAGAAACATTTAAAGAGGGAGGTGTATAATTTGTCTTATAATTATCAATGACGAGAACACTGACCAATATAAATATTAATATTTTATATTTTAATATTTTCAGCCATCCCTTTTTAAAAACAAATTCTCAGTGTTAACGCAGGACCCTGGCAGCTCCCATGGGCCTCCCATCGACAGGTGCACCTGCTTCTGAAACAGAGAACACTCAGCATTGTGCAACGGCAAAAGGTTTACTGAAAGTGCACCGGTGACTGTCATCCTTGAATCCTATGCTTGTAGCTCCTCACTCCCAGTCATTTGAGCGGAAGTGAATTAAAATATCGTATCATGTGGAAGTAGCTTGATAATCCAAGTCTCTCCCAAAACCACTGCAGAGATTGGCCTTATATATTTTTCTGGCCAAAAGATGTCCCAGAATAGTGAGGTTTCTAAAATTTTCTAGTTGACTCACAATAGTTGTACTTATTCATGGGGCACAGTGAGATGTTCCAATCCACAGAGACTTTGTGCAATGGACAAATTAGGGTGTGTAGTGTTTCCATCATCTCCTACTTTCATCGTTTCTTTACGTTGAGAACATTCCAAATCTTTTCTTCTATTTTGGGACATACCGTACGATATTCTCACCTGTAGTCACCCTTCTGCACAGCAGCACACAAGAGCTTCTTCCCCTACCCAAGTCCCTGCACCTGCTAACTCATTTCCTGCATCCCTGTCCTCCCACCTCCCCTAGTCCCCAGTAACCATCACTCTACGCTCTGCTCCTGTGAGATCTGCTGAGATTCTGCACGAGTGGGATTATGCGGTGTTTGCCTTTCTCTGCCTGGCTCACTTTACTTAGCAAAGCGTCCTCTGGGTTTATCCACGTTGCCGCAAATGACAGGATTTCATCCTTTTGATGGCTGAGTCATATCCACTGTGTACCATATTTTCTTTATCCATTCACCTGTTGATGGACACACAGGCTGATTCCGTTTCTGGGCTGTGGGGAAGGGTGCCGCAATGGACCTGGGGGCCGATTCTCTTCCACACACCAACCTCATTTCCTTGGGGTTGTAGCCAGTAGTGGGATTGCTGGATCACAGCATTTTGAGAAACCTCCACACTGTTTTCCATAGCGGCTGTACTAATTTACATTTCCATCAACAGCGTGTAAGAGTTCCCCTCCCTCCACATCCGCACTGGCATCTGCTGTCTTTGTCTTTTTGGTGAAAGCCAGTCGAACAGGGGCCAGGGGACAGCTCGTTGTGGTTTTGATTTGTATCTCCCCGATGATCCGCGGTGCTGAGGATTCTATCAAACTGGAGCTTCTGCACAGCAAAGGAAACAATCAACAGAGTGAAGAGAAAACCCACAGATGGGAGAAAATACTAGCAAAGCATGCATCTGACAGCGGTTAATATCCAGCATCCTGAAATTTTAATTCCAAGTGGTGTGCGCACCAGTGGAATGCCGAAACACAACAAGGTGCTGTATCTGTTTACACAGAAATGAGAATGGAGAAATTATTCTTCACAGTGAGTCTAAGGACAGCTAACCTTAAATATTTGGGATGTCATCAATATTTGTTGTGTGATGCAATCTAGCACTCCATCAATGACTTGAGGGTTTACTTACAAGGAAATCCATGTCATTGGTATCAAAGCACATCCTTAAATAACCCTGGTGCAGAGCATGTCCAGACCCCAATTTCCAGTCCAATCCTGCCACTGCCCCTTCCACAAAATAGGCTGGTCCCTTAACCACTGTGTCTCTGAACCTCCTTGGCCGTGAGCAACAGGAATAATACGCACCAAAGAAACCTCACAGGATTCACACCTTCCAACGGAATCGTGCATGCATAGACAATTCACAAATAGCAAAGTACAAGATTTCACAGCATGTCCCTGAAATCCATTTCACTGCCATATTCATATCTGTATTTCTGGAGAGAGACACAAACTGACTCAGATATTCAAATAACCCATATCCTCTGTGGCAGTGGAAAAGTACTATGATTTATTTTCCTGATTTTGTGGATCAATTATGTATGTTAATAAGTAAAATATAAAACAACATCATGATCAGAGACCTCCCACAGTCCCATGTCAGCAGTGCATCCTCAGTCAACACCAGACTTTGGGGCCCTGGGGAAGCCATTTGAAAGCTGAGGCTTCAAGTTCAACCACGTCCAACTGGACTCAAAACACCTGAGGTTCCAAGTAACGGTGGACAAGATCTGTTCTCACTTGCTGATTTCACAGGTGAGAAAACTGAGGCTATGGTGGAGTCAAGAGGTTTTCCCAGGATCACACAGTTATTTCCAGGAATAAAACTGGAGTCTGGCCAGGCGAGGCAGCTCACCCCTATAATCCCAGCACTTTGGGAGGCCAGATCACGAGGTCAGGAGATCGAGACCAGCCTAGCCAACATGGCAAAATCCCGTCTCTAGTAAATATACAAAAAATTAGCCAGGCGAGGTGGTGGGTGCCTGTAGTCTCAGCTACTCGGGAGGCTGAGGCAGGAGAATGGCATGAACCCGGAAGGCGGAGGCCGCAGTGAGCTGAGATTATGCCACTGCACTCCAGCCTGGGCGACAGAGTGAGACTACGTCTCAAGAAAAAAAAAAAAAAAAAACTGGAGTCCAATCCTCCTGACTGTCCAGGACTCGCTCCAAGACACCTGAGAAAAGGGTACCGTCCACCACAGGACACGTGGGAATCTGGGTGCGACTCAGCCCGTGGATTATTTTTGTTCTGGACGAGGCCCGGAGCCTTCTCCTGGCCATGACACGGTGCTCACTCCACAAAAGAGACCCCACCATAAACTCATGAAACCAAGAAATGACTGTTTCTACAAACGGTTCAGGAGAATTACAGAAAACTGTGTTAGAAACACTGATGCAGAAGGTTGGAATTTCTTTCAAAAGAAATTTAGTCTAAACAGTTGGTGGGATGAGAATTTATGCATAAGTGCCTTTTAAAATAATTTCCTAATGAATTCAGAGGACAATTTGCATTTACTTATACTGAGCCCTACAATATTACCTAATGGATAAAACAACATGTGAATCATCAACAAAGAATAAAGCCTTGGCAAAAACAGCAGAACACCCACCAGCAAACACATTTCCACCGGGAGGTTAGGTGTGTCCTGCCTGCAAAATGGGACAAGCTGCGCGTCAACGCTGCTGTCCCTTGAGTAGGAACGGAGGCCTCGCCAGGTTTGCAACCGCCATAGCTAACACTGTGAAATATGTTTCTCGTCATTTCCTGAATTATTCCTGGGTTGTTTG